>NC_000003.12:159463149-159766180 GCF_000001405.40 Homo sapiens | reverse complement strand
ACACAGCTGCCACACACAGAAAGCAGCTCCTTTCAACTACGCCCTTCAGCCCTAATTAGGGTCATCATTAATGATTTCAAATTACAACTGTTGCTTTATCTCAAAGCAGTGCTAAACAGGGGAGCTACCTTCATGATGGTTTTCTTTTAAGTCATTTATCTGCTCTTCTCTCAGGGGCAAAAAAGATGTTGAGACAAGTGTGAACCTGCCAGTGCTTCTTATTATAGATGCAGCCCTCCTCTCCTCCCTCCCTCTTTTCCACTCCAGCACCCCTCCCTGTCTGGCTTTCCTGAATTGAGGCAGTAGCCTCCGGGAAGAAACTGTAAGTGGCTCCGTTATCAAAACAAGGAGGGATTCACAGCAGAGGGAGTGAGTCAGGCGACCGAGGGAAGAACCCCTCCCTTATCCTGACAGGTCCATTTACCCCGTTCCCCCAGGTCAACAATAACTCGGGTTTCATAAAGGAAGAAAGTCTTAGAGGAGGAAAATCAACCCATTCAAATACAGGAGCATCTGCTTAACACAAGACGGAACGAACCCCGCTGCCAGACCGGTGGTGTGGGCAGGCGAATGTGTGCGTGTGCATAGGAACAAGCCTATATATGGATGAGACATTAGTGGCAACGAGAGGAGAGCCACCACGATTGACAAAGCCACAACTATTACGATTTGAAATATCCCCCGCAGGCACTGACTTTTGGTGCCAGAATCTCCCCGGATTTATTTTCAGGCAAGTGACTCACAACCTGGTCTCCATAAGTAATTCCATTAAAATGAGTCGCCGGTTCCACTAACCCGACTTTCCGCTGCCCTCTGGCTGCTCCTCCTTCCTCTCCGCCCATCCTGCAAACCCAGACAGCTCACAGACCGAGCAACCTTATCCCCAGGGGAGCAGACGGCAGGCTCTCTGGCCTGGCCCCCACCCTCGAGGAAGAATGAATGGGGCCGCGGGCGGGCGGGAGCGCAGGGAGGGGGCGTGCGGGCTGTGCGCGGGGTGTGTACGCGTGTGTGCGCGCGTGGGCACGCACCCCGGCCAACTTACGGAGGTGGAGTTGGTCCTCGCCTGGCCCTGGTTCCGTACCTCCTGCTCCCGGAACTGCAGCCCGGCCAGATGCTTCTCCAGCGCCTCCCAATCCATAGGTGGCACCGGGGGCTCTTCGGGGACGCACGTCCCGCCGTCTGGGGGCTGAAGGCAGAGCCCCCCAGCCGCCGGGCCGCGGCCACTGCGCCGGCCCCCAGCCGGCTGGGGCTTTTGGATCGCCCGGCGGGGGCCCCGGGAACAGCTCGGCCGGCCAGCCACCACCACGTTGCCATTGTGCCTGAGGTCCTGGGGGTCGTGCTGGTGGAGGTTGCCGTTGGGCACCGGGGGCGGCATGGCGGTGGTGGCGCTCCTGCCCCCGCCGCCGCCGCTGCGGGTCCTGGCGCTTACGTCCCCCGGTTCCCGGGCCGGAGAGCGGTCATCCCGGTACCCTCGCTGGTCGCGCTCGTCCTCCTCTTCCTCCTCCTCCCCGTCCTCCTCCGGCGCCCACTCATCAATCACCTTCTTCTGGTAGACCGGGAAGGGCTCCTCATAGTCCTCCAGGGCAGACACCAAGTCCAGGCTGCCCCCCGGCGACGATGAAGATTTGCACTCGGAGCAAGGGGTCACTTTGGTGGAGTTGGACTGTGAACTGGCGCGGCTGCTGCTGCTGCTGCTGCCGGCGTCACTGCCTAGATCCATCCCATCCTCTCGGTAATCCTAGGGGGAGGAGGTAGAGAGTGAGCTGCTGGGCCAAGCCTGCTCCAGCCTCCCGCCACCCGCCCCAAATGCCCCGGCTCAGTGCCCCGCACCCTGCGCCCGCTGGGTCAGAGGTGCGTCCCCCAAGGAGGCCTGGGGGCGGGAGCCAGCACCAGCCTGAGGCTTCCCTCCTGCCCGCCTTTCCTCTCGCACAACCAGACTTCCTGCCGGTAACTAACCCTCAAATTAGCAAAGGGGTGCCCAGCCACCAGCGCGCACACTTTTCATACAAGGGGCCCCGCGGCGCGCGCAGACTTTGTATTAACCATTTTGCGCCAGGCGCGCCCCTTTACCCCGCCCCAAGGATTCTCCGAGAACCAGACACTTTCCCAGGAAATTATAATTCCCTGGGGGCGGGAACTGAGAAGGGGGTGGGCGGCTACTAATTTCGCATCTCGCTCTAGGCGCTGAGACCACCCCCCGCCCCGGCCCGGCCCGGCCCGGCCCCGCCCCGCCCCGCCCCTTCCCCGCCCGCGGCTGGGAGCCCGGGTCCGCGCGCGAGCTGAGCTTTACTTTGTAAGGAACCGCTGGCAGTCGGAGGTCTCACTCCCGCCTCCGCGTCTCCCTGGCCGGCCCCTCCTCCCACCCGCCGGAAGGCTCGGGGTGGGGGGCGCTCTCGGCCCACGCCGGGCAGGGTGGTCCCCCGCCTCCCCAAAAGGTGTGCCTGGCCGGGGCGCGGCGGCAAGTCGCTGCAGGCGCCGTCACCGCCCTAGGGGAGGGAGGACGCGCCCTCCTGGCGGTGGAGCCGGTCCCGCCACCGAGCATGCCCAGAGGCTGCCGGGCGCGGCGCAGTCCGCAGTCCCGGTTTTCGCGGCGGCAGGCTGGAGCAGGAGGCAGGCTGGGATGGGGTTGGAGGGGCCAAGATAGGCCCAAAAGAAGGGGGCACTGGGCGTTAGGGGCGCAGGTCCAGCCAGTTAGCAAGGGCGGCGCGCTGGGAAGAGTGGTGTATTTTCACGCCGACACCCGTATTTTCTTGGCTTGCCTCAAGCCGTCTCTGCGTGACTCGTTACCCCGCCGAAGCCACCCGGCATCCCAAAGCACGAGCCTGGCGCCTCCTATTCCACGCGGAAGTGCCCGAGTGACCCTGTGAAGGACCTCCCTCCCCTCACACACGCACATACACAAGCCCATGTGGGAGCCCGAGTGACGTGTGCTCGGTGGTCATGCACCATCATTTCCCTTCCACCTTCCTCCTCGCCGCTTCCTCTCCCTCCACCGCGCAGCTCCAGCCGCCTTGCCGCCGCCGCATCCCCTTCCAAGTTCAGGCTGTGGGTGGAACCTGTTGCTTTAGCTCACGTTTCCCTTCCCCTCCGGGCTGCACGCTGAGGATGACCTCAGCGAGGTGTGTGTAAGGGGAATGGAGGGTAAGTGCGAGAAAGGACTCCTGCCTGGCAAGGAGACAGGGGAAGCGGGTAGGGGCGAATGTTCTAAAGGGTTGGGCGAGCCACCAGAGACTCTTTCCGCCACCTCCAATCAAGGGGACCTTAAAGGAGGGGAAGAGGTAGATATCAGGTGAGGGTGCCCTTGGCACATCCGCTGCCTTTGCTTCCTTAGATATTTCAGGTACCTGAGTCAAACCTATGCTGGCGTTTTCAAAAACGTACGGGCTGCCTGAGTCTGGCAGCTAATCTCCTTTGGAAGAAGGTTCTATTAAATGAAAAATACCAACACTTGGAAAAACATAGATGCATCACAGAGCGCCTACTAAGGATTTCCTGTGAACCAACCATTCTGACCTGTAAGAACTGGGAAACTAGGAAATGCCCTTTTCTCTGTGGTGATTGTGAAAAATATTACTTAATTTTATAACAAATCGGAGAGAACCAATTTCTCTGAACTTCCAGATTTGGGCCTGTTGCTAATTGTTCCCAGTGAATTCTAGCCTGGACCAAATGAATTCCCTGGCGTGGCACAGTCCAGATGGAAGAAGAGGGGAATGCATGGGATTCCTAAGTAGGGAGTGGCTGCCACCCTGAGGATTCTTCTAAGCCCTAGTGGGATGTGGTGCTGAGATCCTTTTTGAAGTGATTTCTGTGAGGCACGACTCTCCTGTGCTAGGTAGACCTGAGCCAGGGAAGGTAATCTAACCTTTCAACTCCTCTGGAAGCAGCAATCTTAGGAATAACTGGAAAAGGGGCCTTCCGGTCTGGCCAGCTGTTTTGTAAAACGGTACTGATGATTATTTAAATTGTCTTTTATGGTAACATCTGTAAACAGCCTGTCTTGTGCTCCAAATACGGTTTGATTTTGAGATTGCTGTGGAGCCCTGCCTGCCACTCCAGCGGGGTGGAGGTGGCCCTGTGAGTAGGAAGATGTAAGTAGGAAACATTTGGTGTGCTGGGAATTAGATAGCTGTTTTTCAGTTCACCATATGACATGGCATGGCTTAGATCACAAAAAGCTCCCTGCTCTGTGGCAGGACACAGGTAGACAGATAAGTACTGATCACCTGGGGTGATGAGAGAGAGTTGTGGTTTCATTCCAAGTTTTGAATATTAGGACCTCCTCAGCCACCCACCCAGACTCCCTCTGAGCTCTGGGCTCATCCCCCTGTTGCCCAGATGGTCCATGTTCAGGGAATGCAAAATAAGGCCTAAGAAAAATGTTTGGCAAAGTAAGTCTAGTGCCAAAAATGCATGGCATTTCAAAGCCAAATATAAACATCTTTGAATTACCTGTACTTTTAAATTATTTTCCGACCAGATAATTTCTGGATCAGATGGGAAAGTACCAGGTTTCCCTTCTTTTCTCTTCATGCAAGGTGCCTGGCTAGCCCAGTTTCCTTTCTGTTTCCAGCCTTCCATCTCCTGCCAGGAACCCTCCCACTTTGGAACAGGAAGCCCTGCCAACTCCTAGGCCCAGCAACAGCCTGCAGATATGTCCAGCAGGATAGGGAGATGATTTGCAAAGTGATTGAAAGATTCTGTCTTCCTGTTTACAGGGACATTTTTTCAAGTTAGGAGCTTGGAGCTTTCAGACTTAGATTTGTCTCTTGAAACCTTTGTAAATTAGACATCAGAAGTGTGGGATAAGCACCTTTGTGCTCTGGCTCCAGCACCTTTCCCCATCAATCAACAAGTCCTGTCAATTCTACGTAAGTACAAGATCCCTCTCAAATACACACTGCCCCCACCCCAGTCTAGGCCGCTGTGTCCTGAAATTACTAAAGTTTCCCAACTGATTCCTGCCCATTCTCTTCATGCAGCCAGAGTGGCCTTACTAAAATGCAAATCTGAACAAGTTTCTCCCTTGCTTCATTAACTACTCCCCTACCCACCCAGGTCTACTCACTGCTCTTAAAGGAACTGTTTCTCCTCCTCCACCCCACTTCTTTTGGTAAATTTTTACTCATCCTTCAAGTCTCAGCTTAAATGTTACTTCCTCAGGGAAGGCTTGCCTGATTCTCTGTACCTGCCCTTACTGGGTCGGGTGACATTCGCACGTGCCCGTGACACTCACTGCATTTATCTTATGCACTGTATTGAGGTTGCTGTTTAATTGCTAATCTTCTCACTAGACTCATAAGAAATACTTTTATATCAAGACATAGGCCAAACATTCATATAAAAATATATGCAAGGGAAAGAAAGTTTCATAAAACTCTTATTTTGTAAAATCATATTCGAATTCATGTAAAACTAAATCTGGTCACACCTTACTGCATTGACTTCCCAACCCTTAGATGGGTCAGGGCTTCTAGTGTGAAAAAAATACTCTAAATTCCATGAAGTGGGGGACAATTTCCCTCATTCACGGTAATTGGAATGGAATAGGAGCTTAACAGGTATTTGTTGCTGGAATTATTAACGATAATATCTAATTCATATAATCCTCGATCCTATGAAGAAACTACTATTATCCCCACTTACAGATGAGGAGGCTGAAGACAGTGAGGTTAAGTAACTTGCCAAGTGTCAAAAAGCTGGTAAGGTAGATGGCAGAGCCAGGATTTGAACCTGAGTAGTTTGCATTCAGAATTCTTGTCCTAGTCACTCAGCTTAGTATCCTTTGGTCAAGGTGCATGTGAATGAATTTACCAAGCAAAAATGTCAGAAAGGGTCTCCTTGCAGCTACTTCAAACTAGATCTCAGTCTGCCCTGCAGAGGCTCCTTGGGCAGTATTTATGTCTGTGCAGTGAAGAAGGCATCTGGCAAGAACAGCTGTTCCCCTTTGCTCACATGTACTCAACCTCCTAAACCACCAAGTCTAGCAATATTTAGCAAGTAGGGAGATTTAATTGTATAAAGGAAGAGTATAGATACTTCCAAAAATGCAATTTCACATTGTTATGAACTATGTGCTGTATATCCCCCCCACCCCCCTGCAAAACAAATCCTTTAAAAAGAAAGCCACCATGAGACTGGGGTATTTATTTTGTCATCAGTAGGAAACTGTCTAGATTAATACTTAAAGATAGGGGTAAGAAGATCATGTTCCTCAGGGGTCAGTGCTATTTATAGGATTTTAATCTGTAAAGGCAACATTTGAGAAAGGACATGATTGAAATATTTGAATCAAAGAGTATGAATAGACAGGAAAATATTTATTTGCAGAATTTCCAAACTAATTCTTATATTATTAGCCCCGATGCTGAACCTTAAGTCGTGGCATTTAGAGTAATAAAGAAATGGCTGGCAAAGGGTTTGTATTTCATCTTTATTACATGAATTACATGCAGGTCACATGCAATACACAGATGCTCTCCTATTTAATCACCTGAATATAACTACATGGAGATATTTAACAGCCCTGTGGGGTAAAGGGTCCTGGATACAGAACATCTGGGGTTTGTTTCTGGCCCTATCTCTAACCAACTTTATGACCACAGATTCCTCATGAAGGAGCCCAGACACTTGATCACAGTGTTTGGCAAATAGTAACAATTAATTAAATGAATAAATAATGAGTGAACTAAAAAGCTACTTCCAGCTTGAAGACTATGGATTTCATTCTAGAAACAATGAGAAATATAGTATAAAAATGTCTCCGAATCTTTTCATCACCTTCCTTGTTGGGTGATACAAAGTTGGTTCCTCCACTAATTAAAAATCCAGATCTATCTCTATTAGACAGGTTGGCCTTCTTGGATGCATGGTAGCTCTCTTTTATTTCTGTAGAGCCAATGGGTTAATCTTAACTTACTAGTCTATACGTGTAGATACTTTGGAGATGGATTCTATGTACACCTAAAATTATTTTCTTCTCACTTTCACTTACAGAGCTATATTTTAATGAAAATATGTCCTTTAAAAAATTAACATATTAAATGTTTTTATTTTCTAGCAAACCACGAGATTATATTTGTTTTCTACATTTTCCTCAATTAAAAAAATGAAATGGCAAAATATAGGCAAAATGGCACTTAAAAGATATATCCAACAACCTATTTTCCAAACTTGAAACCAGGACACCTGGCTTGACAAACACTACAGTGCTTACAGAAAGTAGGTGAATGTATGTTTGAAATGAAGATTATCCTGAATGATCTGTAGATTGGCAAATGAAGCAACCCTAGCTGCAGCAGAGGGATGGTGTCTTTATCAGAGAAAAGTCACACAGAGGGTGTCAGTCAGGACCTCAGCATGTGGTTGCACAGATTGTGCCCTGTATAGTGCCAGGATTGTGAACTATACAACAGGTCTCCTCCAGGAGGGACCATTTGGCACCATTCACATAGATGGCAATGTGAATGGTGCCCTCTGGAGTTGTGCAGTGTACAATCTGCACAACAGTACACAGAATCTCTGCAAGAATTCCATTGGTAGGAAATGTGCTCTCTTGACAGGATTGGAAGAGGCAGCCTGCTGTTCTTTTTAAAATAAAGTCATTCCTCAGATTAGATGGCAATGACAAAAATTCAACCAAAATCTTGTTTTTTTCTTTTTCCAGAAGGTTTCTGCCACTATATTCTACTTTCCTTAAGTTGCTAGCAATTCTCAAAAATGCAAGTCTGGGCCACGTGTGGTGGCTCACGCCTGTAATCCCAGCACTTTGGGAGGCTGAGGCGGGCGGATCACAAGGTCAGGAGTTCGAGACCAGCCTGGCCAACATAGTGAAACACCGCCTCTACTAAAAATACAAAAATTAGCCAGGCATGGTGGCGGGCACCTATAATCCCAGCTACTTGGGAGGCTGAGGCAGGAGAATTGCTTGAACCCAGCAGGTGGAGTTTGCAGTGAGCCAAGATTGCGCCACTGCATTCCAGCCTGGGTGACAGAGCAAGACTCTGTCTTGGAAAAAAAAAAATGTAAGTCTGTAAGTAACTCTGAACTTACTTTTTGAGCTTCATTGAAGAGAATAAATTGAACAAAAGGGCATTTAGAAAAAGGTGGGGAAGTTTGTAGACAACTGCAAGGGTCAGGGAAGCATTATAAGTCATAGGCATGGAAGCTCATGTATACATGACTCTAATATAAGATGAAATGTCTCCAAAACCGCATGCCTTCTACTTTAAAGTGTTTAGCTTATCAAAGAGGAACATTTTCACAAGATACTCTAGGAATTTAAAACTGTTTTGGTCATGTCTTGACATAATTCTGGAAACCTTATAACGTCAGAAAATAGCATTGTCAGTGCCACACAGCAGGAGGCATGGAGGTAGCTTGGTGGGACAGAGGAGAACTCTTCAGGATACTTGGCTCTGCCTCTGACTAGCTCTGTGTTTATGGGCAAGACCATCCCTGCAGCTAGCTCTCTGGGCCACTGGCTTCCTCACGAAAGCAGAGTTGTATGAAATTGTCTGAGCCTTAGAAACTGCCAGAATTTCATGGGCTGTAACTTAGGTGCCTCCAGGGGCCAGGCGGGTGAGGTAAATGAGTGAAGGGGTCACCACCGGTGACAGGGAGTTCCAGGTCTGAGTCATTAAAGTCACTAAACCACACAGCACAAAGGCATCTGATATGGTTTAGCTCTGTGTCCCCACCCAAGTCTCATCTTGTAGCTCCCATAAGTCCCATGTGTTGTGGGAGGGACCTGATGGGAGATGATTGAATCATGGGGGCAGCTCTTTTCTGTGCTATTCTGGTGATAGTGAATAGGTCTCATGAGATCTGATGGTTTTAAAAATGGGAGTTTCTCTGCACAAGGTCTCTTTTTGCCTGCTGGCATCCACACAATATGTGACTTGCTTCTCCTCACCTTCCACCATGATTGTGAGGCCTCCCCAGCCATATGGAACTATAGGTCCAATAAACCTCTTTCTTTTGTAAATTGCCCAGTCTTGGGTATGTCTTTATCAGCAGCATGAAAACAGACTAATACAGTAAATTTGTACCAGTAGAGTGGGGTGCTACTGAAAAGATACCAGAAAATGTGGAAGGGACTTTGGAACTAGGGAACAGGCAGAGGTTAGAACAGTTTGGAGGGCTCAGAAGAAGACAGGAAAATGTGGAAAAGTTTGGAACTTCCTAGAGACTTGTTGAATGGCTTTGCCAAAAATGCTGATAGTGATATGGACATTAAGTCAGGCTGACTGAAGTGGTCTCAGATGGAGATGAGGAACTTGTTGGGAACTGGAGCAAAGGTGACTCTTGTTGTTTTAGCAAAAAGACTGGTGGCATTTTGCCCCTGCCCTAGAGATCTGTGGAACTTTGAACTTGAGAGAGATGATCTAGGGTATCTGGCAGAAGAAATGTTAAGCAACCAAGCATTCCAAAGGTGACTTAGGTGCTGTTAAAAGCATTACGTTTTAAAAGGGAAACAGACCATAAAAGTTTGGAAAATTTGTAGCCTGACAATGCAGTAGAAAAGGAAAAACCCATTTTCTGAGGAGAAATTCAAGCTGGCTGCAGAAATTTGCATAAGTAACAAGGAGCTGAATGTTAATCCCCAAGACAATGGGGAAAATGTCTCTAGGGCATGTCATAGGTCTTCATAGCAGCCCCTCCCGTCATAGACCTGCAAGCCTAGGGGGTAAAAGTGGTTTTGTGGGCCGTGGGCCAGGCCCAGGGTCCCTGTGCTTTGTGCAGCCTAGAGACTTGGTGCCCTATGTCCCAGCCGCTCCAGCCATGTCTGAAAAGGGCCAACATAGAGCTCAGGCTGTGTCTTCAGAGGGTGCAAGCCCCAAGCCTTGGCAGCTTCCACGTGGTGTTGAGCCTGTGAGTGCATAGATGTCAAGAACTGGGGTTTGGGAACCTCCACCTAGATTTTGAAAGATGTATGGAAATGCCTGGATGCCCAGGCAGAAGTTTGCTGCAAGGGTGGGGCCCTCATGGAGAATCTCTGCTATGGCAGTGTGGAAGGGAAATGTGGGGTCAGAGCCCCCAAACAGAGCCCCTACTGAGGTACTGTCTAGTAGAGCTGTGAGAAGAGGACCACCATCTTCCAGACCCCAGAATGGTAGATCCACCAACAGCTTGCACTGTGCACCTGGAAAAGCCACAGACACTCAACAACAGCCCGTGAAAGCAGCCGGGAGGGAGGCTGCATCCTGCAAAGCCACAGAAGCAGAGCTGCCCAGGACCATGGGAACCCACCTCTTGCATCAGTGTGACCTGGATAGGAGACATAGAGTCAAAGGAAATAATTTTGGAGCTTTAAGATTTGACTTCCCTGCTGGATTTCAGACTTGAATGGGGCCTGTAGACCCTTTGTTTTGGCCAATGTGTCCCATTTGGAATGGCTGTATTTACCCAATGCCTGTACCCCCATTGTATTTAGGAAATAACTAACTTGCTTTTGATTTTACAGGCTCATAGGTGGAAGGGACTTGCCTTATCTCAGATGAGACTTGGACTGTGGACTTATGAGTTAATGCTGAAATGAGTTGAGACTTTGGGGGACTGTTGGGAAGGCATGATTCGTTTTCAAATGTGAAGATACAAGATTTGGGAGGGGCCAGGGGCAGAATGATATTGTTTGGTTCTGTGTCCCCACCCAAGTCTCATCTTGTAGCTTCCATAATTCCCATGTGTTGTGGGAGGTACCCAGTGGGAGGTGATTGAATCATGGGGGCAGGTCTTTCCCATGCTGTTCTCATGATAGTGAATGGGTCTCACAAGATCTGATGGTTTCAAAAACAGGAGTTTCTCTGCACAAGCTCTCTTTTTGCCTGCTGCCATCCATATAAGATGTGACTTGCTCCTCCTTCCCTGCTGCCATGATTGCGAGGTATCCCCAGCCATGTGGAACTGTAAGTCCAATAAACCTCTTTCTTTCTTTCTTTTTTTTTGAGAGGGAGTCTTGCTCTGTTGCCCAGGCTGGAGTCCAGTGGCGTGATGTTGGCTCACTGCAAGCTCCGCCTCCCAGGTTCTTGCCATTCTCCTGCCTCAGCCTCCCGAGTAGCTGGGACTACAGGTGCCTGCCGCCACGCCTGGCTAATTTTTTGTATTTTTAGTAGAGACGGGGTTTCACTGTGTTAGCCAGGATGGTCTCGATCTCCTGACCTTGTGATCCACCCACTCAGGCCTCCCAAAGTGCTGGGATTACAGGCGTGAGCCACCGCACCCGGCCAGCCTCTTTCTTTTGTAAATTGCGCATCTCCGGTATGTCTTTGTCAGCAGTGTGAAAACGGACTAATACAGCATCCAAATTAAAAATCGGAATGAAAAGCAGGTTTCATCCTCAATTCATCCCTAGATCACCACTTGGACCCCAGCTCTTAGCTCCAGATTTCCAGAGTTCCAAGTCTACATGAACATGAAAGAGTCAGGGAGACTGTACATCTTGGCTTGGGCAGGATGGTCCTGCTTTATACTTGTTGTCCTGGCATAATTATTAATGGCACCCTCCTTCACTCTCAAAAGTGTCCTAGTTTACATGAGAAGTCTTAGAGCCATCCAAAGTCAGGGGGAATCAGTGACTAAACACAAACTTTTAGGAGCAAGTTCATTTATTCAAGTTTGTGCAAGCCTTCAGATGAAGCTAAGTAGATTTGGCATTGTTTTGTAAGTATAAAGATATTTAAATAAACTTCCAAAATATCCCAACAGAACGGTTCAATAAAAGCAGTATGTCATGAATTTTAAAATCATAGACAATATAGGAAAGGCTATCAATATGTGAAAAATTTTGAAATTCACTAATAATCAAGAAAAATTTCAATAACAATGAGGTAACATTTTGCCTACCAGAGTATTTAAAAATTATTTAAAACTCTAATACCAGGTGTCAGGATAGGTGTGATCAAAGGAACTCTCATATACCGCTGATAGGTTTATAAATTGACTGATACAAACTTTCTGGAATGATATTTGATAACATGTTTTAAACGTCTTTATGAAGTTTATATCCCATAACCTGTTATTAATTCAACACATACTTATTGAACAGCTACTATGTGTCAGGCACTGAGGGATAAAGTGGTAAGAGAGACAAATGCTATTTTCTCCAAGTGGGATTTAAGTCTAGTGGAGGAACAGACATTCCAGGGAAAAAATACACAACAATTTAAATTACAGTTTGCAATAAGTACCCAAAAAGTGGACTCAAATGATGCTAAGAGAGCATGTGGTTAGTGCATGCACTGGGGGAGGTATCAGGAAATGGGTTGAGCAGCTGAAGAGGGAGGGAAAGGTGAATAAAGTCTTGAATAAAGGCTTGAATAAAGGTTTTGAGGATGGAAGAAGCTTAACACATTGGAGTAACGGGAAGGAATCACTAAGCTGGAGTAAGAAACAGTGGTAAGCTGATGGTGGAGAGTGAGGAGGGGTTGCAACTAAGATCTTTATCCTAACAGCCACTCAAGGATTGTGAAAGCAGACTGGTATTTTTGAAACTTTCTGCATGGTGGAGAACTGAGAAATGAATAGGTCAGGACAAGGCTGGGTGCAGAGACTAATTAGGAAATACATACAGCAGTCCAGGAAGGAGATGATGGTAGATTCAATGAAGATTGGGAAGACAGAGAGAAATAGAAATACTAAAGATATTTAGGAAGTCAAATCAACAGGATCTAGTGACTAAATAGATGGGGGTGGTGAGGGAGAGAAATGTCACTGATGGGTTCCAATTTTGTATCATAAGCAACTTGGTGGAAAGATGGTGTCACTTTACTGAAATGGGCAGTAGGAGGAGAAGGTTTTGGTAGGGGAGAAAAAAACAGGAAAGACAGTGAATCCTTTTTGGACGTTCTATATCTAAGATGTTATAAGACATACAAGTGGAGATGACAAGTAGATATTTAGCTATGTAAGTTTGGAGCTTAGCAGAGAGATCTGGGGCTGAAGATATAAAGATGGGAATCATAGCATATGGATGGTATTTGAAAGCTTGGTTTTAGGTGACATGATCTTGAGACAAATATGGAGTGAGAAAAGAAGGCCAAGTTTCTAGTCCTAACGGATTCTAGCACTTATAGAACTAGGAGAAGAAGCATGAGTTTGTAAGGAAGATGAGGAGCAGAAGTGGGGAAGGGCCAATAGTTACTCTTCTAATAATCTAGCCTAGGGACACAGAAATGAGGATCTAGATTTATGCACGAAGAGGCTCATTGTAGCATTTACCGTAGTGAAAAATTAGCTTCAACCTCAAATGTCAAAAAATAGATGTTTACATACGTTGTGACACATTAATTCTGGGGAATAAATGAAGTCAAATAAGATGCTTTTGAAAATTATAACATTAAGTGAAATGATACGGTTTGGATCTGCATCCCTACCAAATCTCATGTTGAATTATAGTCTCCAGCTTTGGAGGTGAGGCCTGCTGAGAGGTGGTTGGATCATGGGGGTGGATATCTCAGGAATGGATTAGCACCATCCCCTTGGTGCTGTTCTCGTAATAGTGAGTTCTCGAGAGAGCTGGTTGTTTAAAGGTGTGCAGCACTTCCCCACCCCACTCCCTCTTGCTCCTGCTTCCACCATGCGAGACACCTCACTCCCACTTTACCTTCTGTCATAAGTAAAAGCTCCCTGAAGCCTCCCCAGAAGCAGATGCTGTCATGCTTCTGTACAGCCTGCAGAACTGTGAGCCAATTAAACCTCTTTTCTTATAAATTACCCAGTCTCCAGTATTTCTTTATAGCAATACAAGAACAGACTAGTACAGTGAATAAAAGAGGGTATAATATTATACATACAACATGATCACATTAAAAAAATTAAATGGTTATATGCCTAGAAAAAAAATGTAGTGGAATGTTAACAGATGTTAACTATGGATGGTAAGATTGCAAATGATTTCTTACCTTTGTATCTATTTGTATTTTTTAGTTTCTTTGCAATAATCACAAGATTGGTGGTGTTTTAGTCCGTTCTTGCACCGCTATAAAGAAAAGAGGTTTATTTGGCTCACAGTTCTGTAGGTTGTACAGAAGGGGAGGCCTCAGGAAACTTACAATCATGACAGAAGGTGAAGGGGAAACAGGCACATTTTACATGGCCAAAGCAGGAGGAAGAAATAGAGCTGGGCCTGGGTTGTGGGTGGGTGGGGGAGGGTGCTACACACTTTTGAATAACCAGATCTTGTGACAGCTCACTCACTGTCACGAGAATAGCCCTGAGGGGATGATGCTAAACCACGCATGAAGTATGTACGAAGTATCCACCCCTATGATTCAATCACCTCCCACTAGGGCTCACCTCCAACATTGGGAATTACAATTCAACATGAGATTTGAGGCTGGGCGTGGTGTCTCACACCTGTAATCCCAGCACTTCCTGGGAGGCCAAGGCAGGCAGATCATGAGGTTAGGAGATCGAGACCATCCTGGCTAACACTGTGAAACCCCATCTCTACTAAAAAATACAAAAAAATTAGCTGGGCATGGTGGCGGGCACCTGTCGTCCCAGCTACTCTGGAGGCTGAGGCAGGAGAATGGCATGAACCTGGGAGGCAGAGCTTGCAGTGAGCCGAGATCCTGCCACTGCACTCCAGCCTGTGTGACAGGGTGAGACTCCGTCTCAAAAAAAAAAAAAGAAATAATTGTTCAGAAGAGCTGGAATTAATTTCTATAAATTCTGTGATGAATCCCTTTATAAAACAATAATTTTATAGTTCCATAAATCATCCACTAATCTGAAGTTTTTGAATATCAGATTTTCTTTCCAAATATAGACTGCATCAGCACACTATGGGGTCATAACAGACTGAAGGAGAGGTTGGCAAACTTTTTCTGTAAGGGATTAGATGGTAAATATTTTTGGCTTTGTGAGTCATATGGTCTCTGTTGCATATTCTTTTTTGTTTTTTTAAAGCAACCTTTTAAAAATGTAAAAACTTGTAGCTCTCAGGCCATAAAGAGTAAATGACAGGATAGATTTGGCCCACTGGCCACAGTATGCTGACCCCTGGACTAAAGGATGAATGCACAACAATGCATACGTACTTTTTAAATAAAAAGCTAACATAATATTGGAACTGTAGGTGAATCTTCGATCATTAGAGTACTAGAACCAGTTTGTATCTATTTTCAACAGGAAGCCGACTAAATGGAAAAAGTCTAAAAGAGCAATACTTTAAAAAAAGTTTATGTGTTTTTAATGGGAAATTGATCCCATGCAATTATGTCAAAGAGTTGTTATTTTTAACCTAGAAAAGTAAAAGCTAAGGGGAATTTTTTTTTGTTTGTTTGGAAAATGAAGAGTCTTTTAATAGTTCTTCTAAAATCTTAGGTTTTTGATATTATGAGGGGAGTGTTGCTGTTATATACAAGAAGCTATTCAGTTGTTCATACCACAAATTTGGGAGCCATCCTTGTCTCCCTCCACCCACTGCCCCATCACCAAATGTGGTTAATGCTGGTAGTGTTTCAAGCAGATCCCTGTTCCTGGCTGCTGTATACACCCAACCCTACCCCCAGCTGCTGTGAGTGTTTAGCTGTGAAGGACACACAGGTGTCCTTTATGGTGAAATTTATTCCTCTATTTTCATCAGGCCAAGGATAGACTATCTGATTCCACATCCTACCTGGCATTTCCTCCCTGTCTATCCTACTTCTCTCACTTTCTCACAAGTTTATCGCTCAATAAAGCATCAGCACCCAAATCCCCATCTCAGGATCTGCTTGTAGGGGACCTGATGTAAGACACCAAGTCCTAATGATTCCACCTTCTAAATATATTTGGCTATACCCCTACTATGTACCCACAAAAATTAAAACTGAAAAGCAAACATATAAATTATATATGTGCATATATATGTATACGTGTGTGTGTGTGTGTGTGTGTGTATATATATATATATATATATATATATATATATACACACACACATACACACCTATATATATTTGGCTTTTTGACCAGTGCATCTGCTTGGACAAAGGGTATTGAAGTAATCTTATAACTTTATTCTACTCTATGAATAAACTTCTAAATTTAGTATATGATGTCAATACTGTTTATGAATATAAGGAAATAGTTTCAGTGAAGTGATGCCCCAATGATCTGATAAACAAGAACTCCCATAAGGATAACAAAGAACTTAGAAGAGGTTTAGTTTTCAACTGATATTACTATATAGAATTATTGCTAGTATTACTAGTACTAGTGAGTGGAAACCACTGTATATCCAATATTATCAATTTTGCTAATTGTTACTGATTATGTTTTAAAATTACACTAATAACTAATAGCCTATAAATAATCTTCTAAGACCTTTCCACTTTATTATACTATAATACGTTCATTGATGCTTAATAGGATGTGAATGTTTGCTGACTCCAAAGAATACCTTTATTAGAATATGCATATGTGTTCAATTTATCTTTTCAATTACACCTACATTAAAACCTTCAAAATTAAGTTTGCAAAAACAGGCTATGTGCAAGCTGCGGAGCCTCTATGACTTGTGACCTTCTGCTCTATTGCATTCTGGTTAATGATTCACAATAACCTTCAAGAATAAGCACCGAGTAAATCAAGGGGTTCTGCATGGCTCTCCAGGAATGTTGCACACAATGCCCAGCAACCTAAAGCGCGACCTAGTGCAAGATGGGAGCTGGGAGCATGATGAACACAAATCCACAGCAATGGCCAAGGAGATGGTGTTTCCCAATGGAAACCTCACAGCTTTCCTCAACTCCCTCTAAAATGGTTCTCTCTTCACTTTTCTTATTTTGGAAGTAGGAAATTAGCTGCTGTTGCTTCTTCTTTTTTTTTTTTTAAATTCTCTTTCGAGATGGGGGTCTCACTTTGCTCACTGTTGCCCAGGCTGAGTGCAGTGGCACAAGCTCAGCTCACTGCAGCCTTGACCTTCTTGGGCTCAGGTGATCCTCCCACCTCAGCTGCCCTTGGCCTCCCAACTCCCCGCTACCCCACCAGTAGCTGGGACTACAGTTGCATACATTTCCTCTCCCCCAGTAACTGGGACTACAGTAGTGCACCACCACACCCGGCTAACTTTTTGTATTTTTTTTATGGAGATGGGGTTTTATCATGTTGCTAAGGCTGGTCTTGAACTCCTGAGTTCAAGCAATCTGTCCACCTCAGCCTCCCAAAGTGCTGGGATTATAGGCGAAAGACACCGTACCCAGCTGCTTCTTGTACTTTCCCAGTAAAACACATTTTGTTTCAAGTTATTCTTAATCATTTTCATTGGTAACTATTGTAAAAAATAAAGTAGACCATTCTTTGGTTTCATAATCACTGAACTGTTTAGTGTTTGGTTACCCATTTTTAGTAACTAGATTATCCAGCAACAGAGACTAAAATGCTCTTTTTGCCTTCTTTACTTCTTGGAGAACAGGGTCAAAACAGAAACCTCTGAGTATCTTGTTATTTAAATAGGGGCAAGTCCAGATTATTCCAATACTTGAAATGAGTCTATTACCTAGGAATTCCTTTTGACTCTCATAAAATGACTTTGGTGAGTTACAGCCACATTCTTCATCCTGAGCATTAGTATAATTGCCCAAACGTTGCTCCCATGCTTGGTAGCCCAGGTAGGAGCTGGGCACAGTGAAGGAGGGTGGCAGGGGTTGGCATGAGCTGGCACATGGGGCCAAAGGGCAATATCTGGGCCTAGGCAGTTAGGCCAAGTCATTATCATGTTGGTACACCTCCATAATTTTGCCATATTATACTCCATCTCTACTTCTTATATAATTCTTTTCTTTGAATCAACTCATTTTTAAATTAAATTTATTCAAAAGGGAAACTTTACATTAGTACTATCAATGAAATATAAATATCACTTGCTAACGTAGAAGAGTTACGTTACACAGTAAACACATATACTGTGATTCATCAATTTTGAGACACACTTTAAAAAATAATTTTGATATCTCTGAAATTGGGGTGGAACTTACAATCAATGGCATCTAGCAATTATAATTGGCAACATTTCTCTTGTTCTTAGTGGCATATAAAATAATGTGCTTTACACATAAATGGCATATTAGATTTGATGAGACAAACTATAAAAATGATGTTATTAAACTTTTAAAAACAAAAGGTAAAAATAGTAAACAAAAAATGGAACAAATAAAATGGACATAAAATGTATGGCTGAAGATGTTTCTTATTAGAAGGATGAAACTTTATGATCAAAATAGTTGGATATTCTACTTGATAGTTTCAGACAAAGTTGAGGATCCACTTTAATGAGACAAATCTGTCCATTTTTATATTAACCTACATTAAAAATCTGAACTTGCATGGGGATGTGGTTGGAAAGCTCAAAAGATATTTGACTATTTTATGTGTTATAATTTAGTATACACATATATATTCTGCAACTTCAGGCAGTGACATTTCAACATATCACTGAATAAAACACACAGATGCCTGTGGAATTCAGTGTATGGGAGTCTTGCCCTGTTAGTGGTCCTGGCTGTCTATGCTTCTCATGGCCATGAGTACTGAACCCGTGGTCATACCCATGAAAAGCATAGACAGCCAGGATCACTAATAGAGCTTGGAACATCTGTGAATATACTTGGGCACGTCGTCCCTGCTTTATGAAGTTAGGGTAAGGTTGATTACCTTGGCCCTACCTATATTTGTCTCATCCTAAACAACATTCTGCATGAAATCACAGGTCTTATGTGCTAAGTTTTCGCCCAAATATAAATGAATGTAAATACAAGTCTGCCAAAAGACATTTATCTGAGTATCACTTAAAAATTACCCTCTCCTACACTCTGGGAAACATTTGTCTAGATAAAGCATTAAATAGGAAGGACTCACAGAGACAAGGAAGATTGGGTTATGTAGCTGGAGCCAGATGCATCAGGTGGGTTAAGGAGAGGAGTTTAGAGGAAAAGACTGGAGGAGCTTCTCAGATCCAAGACTGTTGGCCCAGACTTCTAGAGAAGTCCCTTGGTAGGGAGGTGCTACTTTAAGGAGATGACATAGTATTCATTTATCCATTTCTCTATTCATGCAGTTACTGTTTCATCCAAATATCTACTATGTGCCAGGTACTGGGTTGGATATCTGGGGAGAGAGAGCTGAAAGAGGTCAAAGAGTTCATGGCCCATAAAGGAAACAAAAAGTACTCACAGTTAACAGTTGGGTTTCAAAGTATTAGGGTGGGCATAGTAAAAGAGTGCTATGGAAAAGGTATTGGAGAGGTGTTTAACTCAATGTGGACAGCTCAAAGAAGCCTTCCCAAAGGAATCATACTTGAATTGGGTCTTGAGGTATAATCAAAAGTTGCTGAAGTTCCCCAAAGGCTGAAAGACAGAAGGATATTCCAATTTGGGGGAACAGTATGGTCAAAAGCTTGGAGATGTAAGAAACCATGGTCCATCTCCCGCAAGTGAAGGCAGTTTGGTATAGAATAGCTGGAAAGAGAGTGAATATTGCAGGATATAGGGAAAGAGGCTGGAAATGGTAGGAAAAGCAAGAGTGGATGTGAAGAATATTAAACTTTGCTTTCAACCTGAAATTGATAAAGACATCTGAAGGATTTTAAGACAGAAATCTCTGGATTATATGTGTTTTGTGTGTTGACTGATGTTGAAAAAAAACTAAATTTTATATCAAAACATAACCTAAAGGCCTTAGCCAGAGTGCCAGACAGTCAGCAGTATAGATCTGCACCATTTATAAAATGATTTAGAGTCTAATCAAGGAGTAGTGGTGACTGGAAGGGAGTGAGAGTGCAGATCATTAGTGTTGTGGATATAAAGCACTAGATAAGCCACACATCAGGACAATGTACTCTCCCACGTGAGAACTAGAGTTTTAAAAGAAAGGAAGAGAAAAAGCAAGTGCTAAACTTCTCAGTGAATGAAAAGAAATGGCTGGACCACTGATAAATGACAAGACAATGATAGGATGAGGTAGAGAAGGATGGAGGAATTCCCCTTCTGTAAATCTTAAGGGAAGAATTCATAGGGCCAATTTTATATCTATAATTCTATATTTTTTGCTTTTCTAAAAATAATTTTTCATTATGGAAACAGTCCAAGCATTTACGTAATTGTATAGTACAATGAACCCCATGTTCCTATAACCTCACTCTAGAGACTATCACCCCATGGCAATCTTATTTCACCTATTTGCTCATTGTAATTACCCCCACAGCCCAAGTCCCAGATATCATATCATTTTAAGACAGTGGTCTTTATTCTTCTCAGCCCAAACCTGTATCAGAGTCATAGGATATGATAAACCTTGCACTGTGACTAATTAGACAAACACCAAAAATTAACAAATATAGAGGCAAAATCTACTCTCTAATAAAGAGAAATAAAAACTAAGACATTAACATGACTGTGAGTCATTTGGAGAAGAGGATAAAATAGGATGATTTCTAAATAATAGTAATCTACTAAACAAGGTCACTAGGAAAATCCTACAACATGAATTAAACTAATAAGGTTAGATACATGAGCAGGGAATTAAAGGAAATTCAATTTTAAAATGTGTAAACTAAAGCATCAATGACATAAGCTATGAAATAAACTATTAGACTGCAGTGAAAAACCTGAAAGCAGAAAGAGACTTGGGCTGAGGGTGGAATGGGAAAGCAAATGAAGTGCAAGTTAGAATATGGCCTAACACATTTAAAAGAGATTCCAATTACTTCCTCCATTTGGTGATTATTACTAGGCATCTGCCATAGTAGGACACTGTCTGGGCTCTGGAATTTTTAGTAAACCATCTCTCCCGCTTAAAGAAGAGGCAACACTCTACCTGGGAGCAGGCAGGGGCATTTACCTGACTCTGCCTGAGTCTTATCCAGATTCTTTATTAAACACCCGGCTCCTTGAGAAATGGAGGCAACTGGAAGAGGTTCAAAGAAGTGGAACAGAAGATAATTAGAGGAAGATATTGATTTTAGCAGAAAGATCAAAGGAACCAAATGCAGGGAACTTGGCTAAGCAAGAGCTCAGGAAAAATGAGCTATTTGAGGCATGTAAACAGTGAAGTAAATAAGAAATATGGAGCTGGTGCACAGAGTGTAATGAACAGGCCTGTTATAGACATACACATAGGGAAAGGCAGGCTGAGGGCAGGACAAGCTGCTCACCTGGCACAGGATTGCACAGCAGTCCCACTGAACACTTTCTTCTTCTTCTTCTTTTTTTTTTTTGAGACGGAGTCTTGCTCTGTCGCCCAGGCTGGAGTGCAGTGGCGCAATCTCGGCTCACTGCAAGCTCCGCCTGGGTTCACACCATTCTCCTGCCTCAGCCTCCCGAGTAGCTGGGACTACAGGCGCCTGCCACCACGCCCAGCTAATTTTTTTGTATTATTTTTTTTTAGTAGAGGTGAGGTTTCACCGTGTTAGCCAGGATGGTCTCGATCTCCTGACCTCGTGATCCACCCGCCTCGGCCTCCCAAAGTGCTGGGATTATAGGCGTGAGCCAACACGCCTGGCCCCATTGAACACTTTCTGATGTTCAACAGGCTTCTGTCCAATGGTTACCATGAACACCAAGCTATTAGAATGCCAGCTTCCAGAGAGGTAGGCATCATTTTTAACCTTTCAACTTTGGACAGGAAAATGTGCTAAATCAGTACTGCTTTGGCAGGCAAGATAGGCAGGGGGAAAAGTATTTCTCTGAAATGTAATTTATAGATAAGTTCTAGTGCTCCTCACTCCTACAGAATTTTTTCTAGTCAGCAAAATTTTTACCAGTGAAGGCAGACAGAGAGAGAGAAAGAAAGAGATTGATTCTGTCTGTACTGGTTTTAATGGGTTATATTTTAAATTTTTGCCTAAGGTCTTATTGACCTCATTTTGGCAACATTTTAAAGTTTTTTGATCAGTTTCTTTCAGACACTGGGTCTTTATGTTTTAGGGAGAGTTAAAATTTATCTTTTTATTTTTAAATATACATACAAAGCAAAATATAAAAACATGTAGGTGTAGTTTAAAGAATAATGTTTAAATGAATGTCTGCATTTCTCACCTCTCCACTTTAAGTCAGAATATTTTGTTTGGTACCTTTGAGGCCTTCTGGGTGTTTCACCTTGATGACATTTCCTTTTCTACCTCTTCCCTCTTAGTACTATCCTAAAATTCACCTTAATTCCTTGCTTTTCCTCATAGTTTTACTATACAGTACAGTATATATACTGTTTAAAAATTTGGGGGGTGCTTCTTCTTTTGAGACTGTGAGTTAGGGGTTCATCTATGTTCATTTAACTAGTTATTTTTTAAATTAAACTTTTAATTTTGATATTACTGTGCATTCATATGCAGTTTTAAGAAATAATATAGAGAAAAATCCCTTGTGCCCTTTACCCATTTTCCTACCAATGGTAACATCTTGCAAAACCACAGTACAGTATCAAACCAGGGTACTGACATCGACACAGTCAAGATATAAGACATTCTCTTCACAGCAAGGACCCATTATGTTGCCGTTCATGGTCACACCAGTTCTCTTCTGCCCCCATTCTCTAAGTACTAATCCGTTCTCCAGCTCTTTACAACTTGATTCAAACTAATGAGTTTAAGTATATGAGCAGGAAATAAAAGGAAATTCAATTTTAAAATGTGTAAACTCAAGTAACCATTAATCTGTTCTCTAACTCTGTAATTTTGCCATTTCAAGCATATTATATAAATGGAATCATACAGTATGTAACATTTTGGGATTATTTTCTTCACTGATTATCATTCTCTGGAGATTCATCCAGGTTGTTGTTAAGTATCAATAGCTCATTCCTCTTTGTTGCTGACTAGTATTCCATGGTATGGATGTACCACAGTTTGTTGTACTGTTCACCCACTCAAGAACATGGGTGTTGTTTCCAGATTTTGGCAGGCTCTTTATTTTTTAAAACATAGAGATATTTTTAATGTGTATGGATATTTTTAATGTCTTAATGTTCTGTTTCTAATCCAGACTCAGAAAAACCAACTAAAATGACAAACACTAGAGCAACTACCCTTTAGGGAAAGATTAAGAATCCATTCAGCCTAGGAGAGATGAAGGCTCATAAGGAATTGATTGAAGCCTAAAGGCAGGAGAATATTAGCTTGTTCTTCATCTTTTACAGTTACAGCAGTTAGAAAGAAGATAGTCAGTTTTAGGAGGAATGCACTTGAATTCACTAGTCCTCTAAAGAGTGTATCCAAGGCCCGGCGTGGTGGCTCATACCCGTAATCCCAGCACTTTGGGAGGCCGAGGTGTGTGGATCACCTGAGGTCAGGAGTTTGAGACCAGGCTGGCCAACATGGCAAAACCCCATCTCTACTAAAAATCCAAAAAAAAAAAAAAAAAAAAAAAATTAGCTAGGCGTGGTGGCAGGCACCTGTAATCCCAGCTACTTGGAAGGCTGAGGCAGGAAAATTGCTTGAACCCGGGAGGTGGAGGTTGCAGTGAGCTGAGATCGGACCATTGCACTCCAGCCTGGGTGATGGAGCGAGACTCTGTCTCAAAAAAAAAAGAAAAAGAAAAAAAAGAGTGTATCCAAAATGAATCAGAATAAGGTTTATTATTGCCATTAACCCCATACTTATACCGTGGTCTCATGGTTGTCCCTTCCCTCACTACCAGGACAGCATGAAGAAGAGTCCAAAGGACTTGCTTCTGTATACAGTGGGCAAAAAAAATAAAAATAAGTGAGTTCCTAACACTTGCTACTTGAGTTGCAAACAGAGCTCAGAAGAATGGATGGACGAGCCTTATATGGCACATCACAATGATGAAGTTAGAGGCATTTGTTATTCCTTGCTTCATGGACAATATTTTGAAGAAATCCCCAGGGGATACCACTGGAGATTCCACACTTTTGGGGGCAGTGTCTTCTTGTCCCGGTCCTGCGATAACTCCCAGTGGCAGCATTTGCTCAGCCCTAGCACAGGAAGAAGCGCAATCAACTGCATTTCTTTTTTTTTGAGACGGAGTCTCACTCTGTTGCCAAGCTGGAGTGCAGTGGCACAATCTCGGCTCACTGCAGCCTCTCTCTCCTGGGTTCACACTCTTCTCCTGCCTCAGCCTCCCGAGTAGCTGGGGCTACAGGCGCCCGCCACCACACCCGGCTAATTTTTTGTATTTTTAGATGGGGTTTCACCATGTTGGCCAAGCTGGTCTTGAACTCCTGATCTCAAGTGATCCGCCCACCTCAGCCTCTCCAAGAGCTGGGATTAAGGTGTGACCCACCGTGCCCAGCCTCCTTTTTCTTTTTGACTCTTTTTCTGAGGCTGGAATCCCTCATGCACAGTGCTCCCTGATTAGTCTAAGACTGATCAAATATTTGGCCACTACCCAAAAGTTCTGACACTGCACCCTATCTCAGTCCCCTCAAATCCATACTCCTGGAACCAGACCTTGTTTGGGGTTGCCACCTCTGCTGCCCTCTGGGTTTCCACCCTTGTTCTCAGCACCACACCAGCAAGACTTTGCCATTTTTGGTAACTTGGCTGGACAGGCCAGAAGTTTGATCCCATATGGCCTTTTCTATGTTCTTTAGCAATTCTAATGAGGCCTTGATGGTTACATATTTTAAATAAATTAAAGGATCAAAGCTTATGAAGAAAAGGTGAAGGCAGCTTTAAACTTTTTGATTTGCTGTTTTCTTTATTCTGGGAAGAGCTTAAATAGGCATGCAGTTTGAGAGTAAGGAATCTAGAAATGTCTACTCAGCAATTTTATACTAGCTCTTTATAAATATAAGACATTCCATAAAAGCTAGGTAAAACTCTAGTATTTCTAAAATTCCATGAAACTGGTGCATGTCAGTGGAGACACGGGGTATTAGAAACTGTGATGTCTGAAAATTACTGCTATAATATCTGAAATCCCTCTTTCCTCTCTCTCCTTTTTTTAATTTTAAGGAGTCCAGAATCTTACGGCCAGAATATATGGTTTTAAGCAAAGCTTGCTCTTGAGCTTTGAATTAGCTTGGGCTCATTCTTCTCTATTTTTATATTCACATTATCCATTCATTCAACAATAAACATTTATTGAACATCTAATGAGTGTCTGGTACTCTCCAGACACTGGAGATTCAAAGAAAAAGCCATGATACCAATACCTCTCTTCAGGGAGCTTAAGAGCTAGTGGAGGGAGAGGGATATTCAAAGAAAAAAGGAAATACAGTGTTGGGAAAGGGGAGTTGGGTGAGGTGGATGACTTGGTTTGGTCTGCAAGAGGCTTTAGGGGAGTGTCGAAGAGCTTGAGCCAACTTATAAATCCACTCAGAGCACATCAGGGTCTGAAAAAACTTGATTCAGCTCCTTATTTCTGAAGCCCAGGAAGGTGACCTAGTTCAAATGTGCATACCTAATTAATAGCTAAGATAGGATATCTTAATGCAAAGCATTTGGTCTTTTTTTTTTTTTTTTTTTTCTTTTTTTTTGAATATACAATTCTGGTTTCCTTCCTTTTTTGGCTACACAATGAAGTGGCCTGTCTCTCTTAGGGGCATACCTGTGGCCCAGAGATGAAGGCAGAGATTCATTTTTATAGTAAAATAAGACCACTTGCTTTTTTAATTCTTGGAATCTTGACTTATGTAGCTTGTGTGATGGATTTAAATTAAAGAAGATTTCATTGGATTTTTTGGGGGCAGGGGGCTGACTCTATCTCCTTTCTGTCTCTCTTCTCCAGTTTCATCCAGAAACTGGAAGACAGGCTGTGGGTTGGCAAGCACCTGCTTTCCTCAGCTTAGTTGGAAGCTGTGGTGTGTTGTTCCACCTGCCCAGCATCCATTCTCCAGTGTTCCTTAGGTGACTCCCCAACTCTCCTCTCAGGACACAACAACCTTTTGGGGAAGACCTCATCCTGATTGCAGAGGCACCTACCACTCAGTGGAACCATTCACCAGTGTGGGTATGGCCTGCAGCCAGCTCCTCCCCACTCTTTTCTCGCCACCCACTTCAGCTCAGCCTGGGGACAGGATGCTCCTCCCCTCAAATGAGAATTGAGTTGTTCTCCAAGTGAACTGACAAGTTTCCACATTGCTGCTTTGTGAATCTCTGCATTTGCAGAGACACACTGAGGTCAGTCTGGGGGCCACTTGCTGTGGAGGTGCAGAAAGAAGAGTTGGCTATGAGGAGAGACGAGATGACAACAGTAAGAATTTTCTGAAGTCTTGGAAGCTGAGTTGCCTTTGTCAGGGAGGAGCCAATGCACCTGGAAAGTATTTGTGAGGCTTTAATGCCTAAGTAACATTTGTACTGAAATGCCTGAATCTCTGCAAGAGATTTTGATGTTCAATGTTACTCTTTCAACAGAATAAATGTAGACTTGGTCGCAGTTGTTCATGTAATTAGGCACCGGTTTAGTAAAATGATTTATGTAGGCTAATTCATATTGACCCTCAGAGAAAAAAATCACATATTGTTATTCAAGAAGCACAAGTAATTTTGTCTCTTTTTACAAACCCAAATCAAATAGATTACCTTTCTGAGCAATGAACAACTTGAAATGCAGATAGATATGCAAGGTTAAAGAGCAAGAAGATAAGGACTTGCATTTGAAAGAGCAAGGTCTTCTGTAATTTGGTGCCACAAAATTCTCTTAAATGAATGTAGAGGAAACCAGAGGATTCTGAAACTGAAAAAAATCTCTCAAGGAAAAAGAAAAAGATAGAATAGAGGTTTCATGGGAAACAGCATTTTATATGTTATTTAGCAGCCTTCTTCTTGAAGGAAAAACACTTCTCAAAACCTTCACCAATACTCCTCTTGTCTAGGCCACCGTCATCTCTGTTGTGGACACTGAAAAAGCTTCCTATTGAATGTTCCTCTTTCACCTTTGTCCCTTACAATTTACTCTCCACTCAGTAGCCAAAGTGATCTTTGAGAGATTGTCTTTTAAAGCTTGCAACTCTCCAATAGCTTCCCACTGTACTTAGGATAAAAATCAAACTTCTTAGCCTGGCTTTAAAGGCTCTTTAGGATTTCTCAATACAGACATTTTTTCCAGGACAATATGAGCAAGACAAATCTTGTGTGAGTCTATCAAGAGCAGTGCAAGATGTTTATCATCCCCGGTCCCTGTCCACTAGAAGCCAATGGTGTCCTGCCCTCAACTCTAGCATTGTATATGCAAATTGCCACCTGCACATCTTCAAACATCTTCTAGGCAGAAATAGAGAGGTTGCAGCACCCCCAGCTGAAACCCCTACTAGCCTACTCAATCTGGCTCCTATGGACTTTGAACCTCAGGATCTTTGCATTGCCTATTTTCTCTGCCTAGAATGCTCCATTCCCAGACCGACCCATGTTTGGCTTCTTTTCCATATTCGATCTTACCTCCTCAGTCAGGCCTTCCCTGACCACCTAAAAAAGAGCAAAACACACGCACACTTGTGCACACAAATACACACAGTTTCTCTCTCTCACTGAACACGCTTTATCACTATATACAATTTCCTTGTTTACTCATTTATTGTCTCTCTCTCTCCTCTCTGGAATGTAAGTTCCATGAGAACAATATATTTTGTTTGTTGTTATACCCCCATTGCCTGGGGATACATTTTTGTAAATATTTGTTGATCAAATAAAATAGATGCCATTAAGTTATATGTCATTTAATCACATTTATAATAAATGTTAGGATGCAGCAGAAAAACATTATTTAATTCATTGTTCATATAAAGCACTAAGACGCTAAAAATAACAAGTCCCACAGTGAATATTAACATGGAGAGAGGAACTAAACTAGAAATGTCATTACCTTCTTACTAAGTCATGCTGGATTATTTCAATATAAGGCAATCCATTAGATAGGTCACATTGAAAGACATAATATGCAAAGACTATAATTAACATAACTCTTTTGTCCCAGCCACTTTAGAGCAACATGCTTATGTTGGTTACTACTATCTATATACCAGTTGCATTTCTTTATTTTTTTTTTTTGTAATTTAAAGAAAAAATTTATTGAAGATCTGAAAAACAATTTCTAAAAGATTGACTTTTCCAGAAAAATACCTACAAAATGCATTGTGTCAATCATGTTAAAACATGCATTAGACACAAATACAAAAACCATAAATATTTCATTTCACTTTATAGTTTATTACACCTTCTCAAATATAGGCTCAAAAACTTAACTTTACCTTCCAGAGAAAGGAAGAGACAAGGAAATAAATTTATTGTTTCCTCTGGAACAAACTTAAATACATGTCTTTCAACTGATTCTAGGTCCTAACAAAATTGATCAATGAACAAGGCAAAGCATCATGTGGGGACAGCAAATACAACACATACCCATTGCCGCTCTCCACTCCCGCACCCGTGCAGTGTAGCTTAGCAGTTCTAGAGCTCTCTCCCACCGAGCACCCATCCCACCTGGGACTCCTCAATCCAGTGCTCCAGGCAGCTGCTGCCAATGAATTGGAGTTGACAGACAAGTTAAAAATCTATTTGCCAGCCCTGGAATCATGGAAAGAGTAAACACTTTTCACATAAATCTGAGTTTGATATCTTTTCTTTATCACTTGTGAGATCTTGGTTACTTAACCTCTTTCTGTTTAATGATACCAAATTTGTAGTTGAAATAACATGTGTCTTTAGCACAGTGCCTGTTACAATTAGAATTCAATAATAGTAGCACATAACTGTGGTGAGATGGCTATACTTCACCTCCAAAAATGGAAGAGGTATTATATAGAAAGGCAAGAGTAAGTACAAGTTACTGGGAACACTACAGTGAGATTTATTGTTGAACTAGAGGACCAGTTCCTGAAGTGTAGCCCCAGACCACCTGTAAACTTGTTAGAAATTCCAAGTGTTCCGGCCCCAGTCGAGACCTACAGATCAGAGACTCTGGGGATAGAGACTGGCAATCTGTGTTTTAACAAAGCTTCCAGGTAATTCTGATGTATGCTTTCTAGTTTGGGAGCCACTGCATCAGAGGGGCAAGCAGGAGTGGATAATAGAAGTGATAAAGTCAGGGGAGAAGGATGTCTACTCACCTGATGATTAATCAGGCCGAAAACAAGGAAGTGTTGCCCCTCACAGAGGCTATGACCATATCATCACTCCCCACTTTAGTGGAAATTTCCCATAGACAGGATATCAATTTGCCATAAACACAAAGGACAGACCCAGAGCACACTAAAAGAATGTGGTCTTTGGCCGGGCGTGGTGGCTCACGCCTGTAATCCCAGCACTTTGGGAGGCCGAGGTGGGCGGATCATGAGGTCAGGAGATAGAGACCATCCTGGCTAACATGGTGAAACCCCGTCTCTACTAAAAATACAAAAAATTAGCCGGGCGTGGTGGCGGGTGCCTGTAGTCCCAGCTACTCAGGAGACTGAGGCAGGAGAATGGCGTGAACCCGGGAGGCGGAGCTTGCAGTGAGCTGAGATCGCGCCACTGCACTTCAGCCTGGGCGACAGAGCGAGACTCCGTCTCAAAAAAAAAAAAAAAAGAATATGGGCTTGTATTACAAGGGTAGGTGTGGGGAGAACGTCCCCAGTGCAGCCCCGGTGCAGGCATGCAGTAGACTGAACTTCAGTCTCTCTCCCTTGGAAGGGTAGGTAGCCATGGTTCCTGATTGTTTCAAGTGCAGCTTTGAATGAAGGCAAGAAGCTGGTGTAGACTTGTTCAAGCTTCCCCAGCTTGGTGGTTTCATGAATGAATTACATCTGAAAAGCTTAAGGAGAATAGTTGGGGAGTTGGGGAAGAAGGGAGTCAAAGATGTATCAAGAGATTCAACTGCACTAGGATCTCTCATTTCAATCTGTTTAATGCTTTCCCCCATTCTAACTCCTTCTGCCAGTGTACCAGACACAGAAACACTTGCCTTGGGGTAAAAAGTTAAAAAATATTTTTAAGGAACACAGCCAATCCAAAACTCTTTGAGAACCAGCAGCTTTTAAGCCACATCTGCATTTGTAGGCTGTTTCCACAGTTAACCCCTGTAGCAGGTCTATGGTTGCCTCAGCATCGACTTCTTTTTGATTCCACCTAATTAGAAACATAACTTACATTTTTATTAAACATTAAATTTACACATCCTTAGAAACATATCCATACTTGCAGATTGTTCTAAAGTGTGTAGACAAGATCTGGGGCCATTACCTTATTATTAAGGTACAAGACTTTGTTAGACTATTGGGCATTCAGATCCAACATAATTACTGAGCACCTGTCCTGGCACATTTCATGCTTTCCCTGAACCACGTGCATAAGTGTTATTATCATTCTCATTATGCAGGCCATAGATCGAGGCTCAGACACATGTAGGAACTAGCCCAGAGTTTCAAAGCTACTTTAAGTGGACAAGTGTGGACTCTCAACACGTCTCCTGACAGAGGCTGTGTTAATCCATGACTAGAAGATGGGCTATGTGTGTGACCTGCTCTTCGTTTAGTTAAAAATGGCATACTTGATTCCCAGCTTATGTATAGGCTGGGATGTGAACTTCCAGTGGAATATTTCTGTTGCTGAAATTTGTCACCACCTTTCTAAACTGGTGACAGAATTTTTTTGGGTCATACACAGACTCATTGCAAGTAAGGCAAACCTACTCTTAAAGTGACCTAAACAATGAAAGTGCTGAAAGTAAGGATAATCATGTTCTTGAAGACAGCTGTGTGAATGGGTTAGGAGTTTTATAGAAAAGTAGCAATTGGGGCCAGGTGTGGTGGCTCACGTCTGTAATCCCAGCACTTTGGGAGGCTGAGGCGGGCAGATCACCTGAGGTCAGGAGTTCAAGACCAGACTGGCCAACATGGTAAAATCCCCATCTCTACAAAAATACAAAAATTAGCCAGGCATGATGACGGGTGCCTGTAATCCCAGCTATTTGGGAGGCTGAGGCAGGAGAATCACTTGAACCCGGGAGGCAGAGGTTGCAGTGAGCTGAGATAACACCACTGCACTCCAGCCTGGGCGACAGAGCAAGACTCCATCTCAGAAAAAAAAAAAAAAGTAGCAATTGGTTATTTTTGAAATACTTGTAAGAGGTGCCTTATGAGAACCAAAAAAGTTCCTTTAAAAATGCTTTTTAAGCTTATTATTGGAATAGACCACCTTTATAGAGATTCTAAGATAACTTATTATTGTTCTTTAAGACTATGGAGTAATTTTATATTAAAAGAAAACAATCAACAATTCTTCACGTCTCTGAACACAAAATAAGTGGAAGTGGGTTTGCTTTAGGAAGAGCTTTCAAACAGTGAGACTGGTTGATGATTAGGAATGGGTTTCCCAGTGAGTTGGGCATCCTTCTGTGAAGGGAATGGGCACAGGGGATGAAGTAACTGTAGTCCTAAAGCTGAGCTACACAGCTGGTTTCCGTTTTCAAAACTTATTTCCTTTGCCAAGGAACAGTGTAATTTCCCAGGCAATAGAAAAAAAAAAAAAAAAAAAAAAGACAAGAAAAGAAATGAGAAATAGCATTTATGGAGCCTATGCCGAGTTCTGGGGTCTTCTGATCCTAATTAACATTCATTCTTTTTACAAATAAGAAAGCTAAAGTTTAGACTGGCTGAGTAATTTGCCTATGGTTATGGAAATAAATGAAGAAACTAGAAATTTAACTCAGATCTGCTCAATTCTAGGCTGGAAACTGAGGCACAGATAAAGTAAGTGGCTTGTGTGAAGTTGTAAGATCCATATGTGACTGAGGGCGGGGAGAGTCATTGAGTGAAATGTTTGGGAAGACACATCTTTTTTTTCGTTGGAAATACCTTGACTTATCTTATAAAAGATAACAGTATGGGCTGGGCACTGTGGCTCATACCTGTAATCCCAGCACTTTGGGAGGCCGAGGTGGGCGGATCATGAGGACAGGAGTTCGAGACCAGCCTGACCACATGGTAAAACCCCGTCTCTACTAAAAATACAAAAATTAGCTGGGCATGGTGGCACGTGTCTGTCATCCCAGCTACTCAGCAGGCTGAGGCAGGAGAATCGCTTGAACCTGGGAGGCGGAGGTTGAAGTGAGCCGAGATTGCGCCATTGCACTCCAGTCTGGGCGACAGAGCAAGACTCCCTCTCACAAAAAAAAAAAAAAAAAAAAAAAGTAAACAATAATAATAATAACAATATGGTACTTTTAGAGATTTTTCAGCTTTAAGGATAGAATTTTGTTTTTCTTTGTGCATCTATATTTGAAAGCAATGTATTTGACACTGCTTTCTGGATTTGCTTGGTACAAAATGAAGCAAAACTATACCCATGCACTCTGCTGTCTTCCACATTGTGAATGCATAAGTTAACTTTTTGCTTGGGACACCAATGTTTCTGAATGAGAAAGGTCCAAAGTAAAGCCCTTTGTGATTTTAGAGTCAAGAACAGATCTTTCTTTTCAGTAACCAATAATCACCACTTTGCCCATCCATCAGAAGTCGGAGGAGAAGAGAGGAACCCTTATACTAACAAATCCCTCGTGATAAAACAAAATCTTTTTTCATGAACATTCTGTCTTTAGAAAGCACTAACAAGTGGATAGAGCACTTGTTAGTTAATAATAAGAAGAATTCTTCAGTGACTACTCAGATGAATGAATATTTTTAAAAGGCATGGAGTATGTAAGGAATTTTAATCCAGCCTTCTTGTTCACTCCCCCACACAACTGTAGAGAAACCACTGCCTCTGAATGATGAATGGACCTTGACTCAACTAGGAGGAAAGAGGACCCCAAGCCCTGTAATTTAGCATCTCTTTTTTTAAATTCCTGGGTGGACTCCTTTTTTGGCTGTAGGCTCAGTTAAACGGCTTTGGATATTACGTAAAATGACCATCAAGTGTTTCTCCTTCTATACTACACCCATCTCTTTTCAAGCTCTCAGTAAAATCCCAACCCCAGCTGTATATACATCTCAATCTTAGAGAGAAACACATTTCTGCTAGGAAATCTTTAGCTATTAAAAAGTTTTATTAGTTAATTTCAAATTAATATTGTACCAGGCTCCAGACCATGGAGGAAAAAAATTCAAGAAGCTGAGTTAGTAAATGACGGAGCAGTAATTAGCTTAAATGAGATTTCTTCCAGCCCTTTGCTGGAAGAAAGATGACACAGAAAATCTGAGATGTTTCTGTGGATGACACAGAAAATCTGAGCTTAGAAAATCTCTCTTCTCTGCATGTGGTACTATGAGGATGCCAGAGATGCATTTCCACAATCATAGTCTTGTTTATTTATTTAGTCTCCTACTGCAGTGCTTCACACATGCACCCCCACCTCCTGCTCTGTGGCAGCCAAACCCTAATGGCTAACAAGCCAGGCTGCAAAAAGGGTTAAGGCTGCAGCCTTCCAGGCCTATAGACATTCCAAACATTCATGTACTTTCTCCTCTGCAGTCTGGTCCTGTAGCTCCAGCTCCTGGAAAGCCTTCAGCACTTGCAGAAGCAGTATTTCCTACCAGCTATGTTTGGTTTTAACTTGCGGTTCACCAGGTTATATAGCTCAAGAGTCTAAACTTATCCCTCCACGGTCTTATCTATAATTTGTCCCTCTTCCCCAGCTGAATTTGTTTCCCCTGCCCTGCCCTGCCCTGGAAATGCCTCAGGGCCTTCTGTAACCTTGCTGCCTTCTCCCCACAGGAAGTTAGATGCATCCTCACTGGCTGCATTACTGCACATTTCCCTTGTAACCTTGTTTTTTCCTTCAACTCAAACTTCTCCAAACAGCACCATCTCTGCTGACCCTGAAATTCTCTAGCCCTTTCATACCAGTCTTTCTAACCCGCCATGAGAACGATTATAGAGGGCAAATTGCGGAGAGAAGGTTTGGGAACTCACCTGCACAGCAGCAAGGATCAGACACAGGATGGGGCTGCCCGCAAACTTCCCAGGGACTGTCTGCAGCCAAATCTCTTGGCCTTAAAGGGACAGGGCACTTTTCACCATATAAGGAAGACAATTTCACTTGACTGCTTTGGAACCTGTTTGGGCAAGAAGCAGCTCCTCTTGACATTGCCTGCCAGGCTTCAGCCTTTTGAGGAAATTTGGAGCCTGACAATTCACAAGTTTCTGCACATAGTAGGCAATTTAATAATTCCTAAATAAGGGGCCAGGCGTGGTGGCTCACGCCTGTAATTCCAGCACTTTGGGAGGCCAAGGCAGGTGGATCACCTGAGTTCAGGAGTTCGGGACCAGCCTGGCCAACATGGTGAAACCCAGTACCCAGTCTCTACTAAAAATACAAAAATTAGCCAGGTGTGTTGGCGGCCTCCCAGCTACTCAGGAGGCTGAGACAGGAGAATGCTTGAACCTAGAGGCAGAGGTTGCAATGAGCCAAGATTGTGCCATTGCACTCCAGCCTCGGCAGCAGAAAAAAAAAAAATTCCTGGATAAGGCACAAGAAAGATATTTGGTGGGCTAATTTTAAAGGCCAGAAAACCCTTTATGTGGGACTTATTCTCTTACAAAAATGGTTTCTGGCAACTGTGAAGTCTTCCTCAATTATATGAAAGGGCTTCTGCTTCTATTTCAGGTTTGGCTTCCTTGAGACAGAGGATCTTGCTCGCCTCAAAGAGGAGGGCAGTTTGCCCCCTTCCTCCTGACTCCAAGACAAAAGAGAGAAGACTGAAGAGTGGTAAAGCTTGTGGTGTGAGATTTGGATTGTTGTAAGACACATTTGCGCTGCATCCTGAAAACAGTGAAGTGGAGATGATTTTGCTCTTTCAGCAGATAGAGAGCCCTTCCGAAACAGATAAACACGCACAGTCCTCAGTGGAGGCCCTCTACCGGCCTCGTCTACTCCTGAGCACACCTCTTGGACTCCCTTGGCTAAAGCCCACAGCTGAAGCTTGAGGGTTCCTTTTACCTTCCAGCTGGCAGGGACGAGGATGTGCTTTAGCAAGAGCAAAGATTTTCTACTGATAATATTCAAATGCAAAGCTGTCCTGTTGATTTGGGGGTGGATTAAAAGTAATTATAAAATGTTAGATTCTAAGAAGAGAGTAGAGCCTAATTTGGTCATCACTTTTGTGGTAACATACTTCTTTCTTTGCTGCTAACTGGATATTGTCTTTGAAAATGCTTTGACGTCTGCCAGGTGGCTCCAGCCAGCACCTACTCTTTTTTGCTTAGCTTACTATGCCTAATATCCAGTGTCTGAATCACAGATTTGGGATCTTTTAAAAACGGAATTTGGCGCTTGATTATAGAGTCTCATACTATCTTCACATCTTACTTTCTTGCATAAATTTTGAGTTTTAAGGACAAAGGCCACTCCATATTCCTCCTACTCTGATTAACTCCCAGCATGGAACAAGCATGTAGTAGAGTGGGAAATCTTTGTTGGATTTAATCAACTGAATGGAACCCTGGGTTTTTGTATGATGTCTAGATAGTTTTATGAATAAAATAGGTGTTTACTAAATAATTGTTTAGTAAATGGCTAACCCATCCCAGCCTCACTGGGAAAGAGAGGGAAAGGGGAGCTCCTCTCCCTTTTGCTGTGGTCAAATAAATACATGATTTATTTGCTTTACTCTCTCTTTTATATCAACTAGTAATTTTCATATCATTAAATTTTCTTTAAGGGAAGAGGTCAAAGGAATATCTTTAAAAGGTAATTATTGTGATTACTCTTTGATCCAGCAATCTAATTTCTAGGAATTTAATCTAATGAAATAATTAAAAAGAGGCAAAACATTATATTAATAGAGCTACTCATTGCATTACTATCTATAACAGCCATAACAAGAAATGACTTAAAGTTTCTAAGGTTATTTCATACAGTAATAATAATAGCTCATGCTGATTGATTGCTCATCATGTACCAGGCACTGCTCTAAAAGCTTTATGCAGATTAACCCACTTAATCTGTAATCTCACTTAATCTGTCTCAATTCTCATGTCAAACCTATGAGGTAAAAATGGTCATCATCCCCATTTTATAGGCCAGAAGACTAAGGCGCAGAGGTTAAAAAATTCCCATTTGGATTGAGGTATTTTGGCACCAGCATTTACAGTCTTAGCATCATTCTTTGCTCTCATTAGGACTTCCTGAACATTATAATAGGCACTAGGGACAGACAGATTTATGAAACAGAAAGGACTCCACTTCATATAGCCATTAAAGATAACAATTATGAAAACTATGTACAAATAAGGAAACATGCTAATTTATATGGACATACATATTTATAGATACATTATGATGCCATTTATTTCATATGGATAGATATAGTGTAGATATAAATTGTGATCTTTTTATTTAACAACATATCTTGGATATTATTCCATATCCAGGCCTGCAGATCTCCTTTACTTTTTAAATGGCAGAATACAAGGCTGTCTTCTGGGAATACACCACAATTTAACCAGTGTCTTATTGATGTACATTCAGACTGTTTCTAGTCTATTGCAGCTAAAATAGTTGCGTAATGAATATCTTTATTTGCCATATGTGATTTCAACAATAACCAAGAAATCTTATTTTTGTTGCTATTACATTCAATTAATCATTTGATTTAGGGAAAGTTGACTTCTTTATGATATTTAGTCTTTTTATCTAAACACAGGGAATGCCATTTCATTTTATCAAGATTCAGTTACATATATTCTGCATGTTTATTGTTATTTTTATTCTAATGTATTTTATTATTCTAGAAGCCATTTTAAATGGGAACTTTTTCATTATGTTTTCTAACTTGTTTTTATACAGGAAAGTTATTGATTATTGCATTTAATAACCAGCTTTTGTACTGGATTATCTTATTGTTTCCAATAATTTTCTATGTGACTCTCTTTTAGCTATGCGATCATATCATCTGTAAATAATTATCACTTTGGCTCATCCTTTTCATTGTTTTATACATTTATTTCCTCTTATTTAATTGGGTAGTACTTAAACAATATTAGTTACATATGTTAAACAATGGCACCATTTCCTCACATTATTGGGAAGGCTTTTTGTATTTCATCATTAAACAACATGCTGCCTTGGAAAAAATAGGTAATTTTTTTACCACTACCACAATATTATAAAGAGAGTTTTATCTGGAACACTTCTATTTTCTTTCTTTTCTTTTCTTTTTTTCTTTTCTTTTCTTTTTTTTAGACAGAGTCTCACCTGTCTCCTAGGCTGGAGTGCAGTGGTGTGATCTCAGCTCACTGCAACCTCTGCCTCCCGGGTTCAAGTGATTCTCCTGCCTCAGCCTCCCAAGTAGCTGGGACTACAGCATGTACCACCATGCCCAGATGATTTTATACTTTTAGTAGAGATGGGGTTTCACTATGTTGGCCAGGCTGGTCTTGAACTCCTGACCTCAGGTGATCTGCCTGCCTTGGCCTCCCAAAGTGGTGGTATTACAGGCATGAGCCACTGCGCCTGGCCGGAACACATCTATTTTTAATGAGTAAACCTGAGAGCTTCAAAACCCCCTGGCCTGACTGCCAGGAATAATTCTGTTTCTAACTGTCCCCCACTATTTCTCCAGGGATCCAGGGCCTCTCAGAGTTCACCTGAGCTTTCCCAAGTCTGGTTTGTTCTCTCTACCCTGCTGCTACTACTGCAAGTGACTTTCACAAGATGCTTCTGAGCATAGCATTGCTCTGCTGTGACCACTGCAGGTAACCCATCCCAGCCTCACTGGGAAAGAGAGGGAAAGGGGAGCTCCTCTTCTTTTGTTTCTCCAACCAATGTGAGACAGATTCTTCCCTTTATCTCATAAGACAGCTGATGCCAGGAACCAATTTAATAAGACATTACTTAGGCATGGAACAACTTAACAAGACATTACTGGAAGTTGGCAGTGAGTGGGGGAGAAGTAGTATAGCACCCTCTAGACTGGTCTTAGGGTCCCCTGTGAAGCTGGTTGCCTGCCTCATTCTCCATCCTCCTTCAGATGTCAAGAGAATTTCTGCCTTTTGGAACTTGGACAATATTGGCCACCTACCCAGAGAGAGGAGAAGGATAATCCAGACATAAAGGTAAGGCCCACTTCCTTAGTCTTTATCCCCTGCCTAGGTGTGATCAACTCCCAGAATGATGGTGAAAAGATCCACTTCCTTCTAAGAGGTACTAATCTACCCACCCACTGGCATATGGTCTGTCCTTAAGGTACTAGTAAGACAATCACAGCATAATCTGACATCATGCAGCTTACATATTTTAAATGTGCCCTGGGGAGCTAACAATGGGTCCAGATTTATTAAAGTTACTCTTAAATTACAGATTGCCTTTTTAAAAAAAAAAAAAACAAAAACAGGATTTTAAAATTTGATGATGCCATGGCTGTGACCAAAAAACAAACAAACAAACAAACCAAAAAAAAAAACAACAAAAAAGTTTTTTGGAGCCTGAAAGAGCAGAAACAGGAATCATCTGGACACCCATTTAGAGGAAGGACTGACCAGTGCATGAGGCAGCCTAGATATACTGAACAGGGGCTTATTAATTTGTTGACTATCATGAAGGCTTTGCTAGCAGCCCTTTGTTTCACATAAAAATATAGGCAGGAAACCAAATGTATATTCCCTGTGTGTTGGCTACACTTTGCTTTGTTCCCCAGACCCACACTAGCTCAGGAAATCAAAGTCCAACCTAATCACTTCCTCCAGGAAACTTGATTCATCCTATAAGATAACATCCCTCAATCCTCCAAGGCCTTTATTGCTATGCTTAAGCACTTTAAAAAAATTGAATAAATATGTTAATGAATATTATTGATATTTGGGGCTTCATTTTCCAACCCTTGCGAGTTTATGCACCTTCTTAGGGTGGGAATTTATTCAGTCATTTGACAAGATTTGTTGACAGTCTACAACATGCTGGGCTCTTCAGAACTCCAGGGATACAGCAGTGGAAAAAAATAGGCAAAATCATAATACTCATGGAACTTATGTTCTTGTGCGGAGGCAGACCAGTAAATAAATAAAAAAGAAAATGTCAGGTAGTAATTAATTCTGTGATGAAGATAAAATAGGATACATGAAAGAGGTGACTGGGTGTTGATTAGGAAAAAACTCGGAATTCTTGAATTTTAAGCTGCTCACATCTTTCTTTTTAGAAAAGATTCTGCAGCATCTACCAGCCAGTTCACCTTGCAAATGATTGATGCTCAACAAGCATTATAGGATGGTTTAAAAAATATATTTTGGAGCCTGACCAAAGTTTCTTTTTCATGGCTTTAATGACATTAGTTCATAGAGGATTTGTTTTTTGATCTCTAAATCAGGTGGTGTCCTCAATGGGCTTTTAATGTAAGCTTCCTCTCCTATGTTTCCAGCATATCGCCAATTGCCACTTATACAGGTTACATAAAAGTAAATGCAAAAAATAAAGTGATCTCAAGTTCCGGTCAAGAAACACCTGCTAAATAGTTGGCATTATCCTTAGACAATCTTCTCTTCGAGCAATTTTGGAAACTCCCTAGTTGTACTTCTCTGTAAAGGTTTGCACCTGGGAAATGGCACAGAGGCTTTTATGAGAAATGCTATTATAAGCCTCTCAGTAAAGCTGAGAGACAGGAGAGGCTGCAGGGGGCCCTATTTTATAGTACAGTAAGGTTAGCCATTTACTGTTCCCATAAGCTATTTCACTTGCAATAAAGGTCAATGGGCCTTTTTAGGGAGGAGAGCTAGACCCCTGTCTAAAACTGCCATCTTCAGCAGTCAAAAAGACAGCTTGCTTTAGATTCTTCTGGAAAGTGGTAGGATTTTTATTTCACTGGGAGAGTGGTTCAATATGATCAGCTGATGAGCAAGGCAATAAGAATTCACAGACTTCAGAACAGAAGACTTAAACCCGAAGGTAGCTTGACCACAAAGCTAAGCAGGGCGTGTCAGCCTGCGGCTCTGCTTGTTACCTTCATGTATGAACTCTGCCAAAAAATGCAACATTTCTGCACCTGGAATTCTTTATCCCTAGACTTCCTGAGAAATTGGTGTCCTAAAAGACAGTGGTTTGCAACACGTGGAGCTGCAAATCCAGTACAGCAGAAGCCGTCCTACTAACAGTTGATTTTTTTTGTTAGCTTTTAAATAATGAAATCAAACTGAGTATTTCCTTAAAGACACTGGGCTTCAACATTTTTGTTCAATATCTCCTAGGGAATTTTGAAAAACTATATACCTTCATTCAGTTTTATGTTATAATCTAAAAGTTTTCATCAAAACTTCAAAGGTTGCAAGGGTGTAATATATGGTCTGTTGTAAATATTGGCTTTCAAAAGTAATACTATTACTCAGCTTGTTATAATATAGCTAATGGAATATAAGTAGTATAGCACCATCATCCACTTGATAAGAGGTGGGAATTTTACATCATTTCTTTTTCCCTTTGAATTCTTATTTCCATTCTTTTACAAAATTTTATTCTAATAAAAGATCTTTCTGTGCTTAGGAGTATTTAAATTTTACCTTAGTATAATTATACCTTAGTTTTCTATAATAAATATAAAGTGAAATTACAATTTGTTTCTTTCCTGTGACCATTGGCCCTGTTAAAAGACAATGCACCTGGATGGAGCTGTCATTGCGATTATTGCCAGTGGTACCTGTGGCAGAGACAGTACTGTGCTCACCACACCTTTTTCTTCTTGAAAGTCCAGGAAGTTTTTATTTCATAGTTTTCCACTGGGAGAGTGGGCAGAAATGAAGTCTTGTTTCCAATCCTAGGCAGTTAAAAGTGTATTGAGGCCAGGCGTGGTGGCTCACGCCTGTGATTGCAGCACTTTGGAAGGCGGAGGCAGGCGGATCCCTTGAGGCCAGGAGTTCGAGACCTGACCAAGATGATGAAACCCCGTCTCTACTAAAAATACAAAAATTAGCTGGGTGCAGTGGCATGTGCCTGTAGTCCCAGCTACTTGGAGGCTGAGGCAGGAGAATCTCTTGAACCCAGGAGGCAGAGGTTGCAGTGAGCTGAGATCACACCACTGCACTCCAACCTAGGTGACAGAGGGAGATTCTGTCTTAAAAAAAAAAAAAAAAGAAAAAAGAAAAGAAAAAGTGGATTTAGTTTCTCTCTCTCTCTCATCTTCCCAAGTGGAACTAGAAACTCTGGTGGCAGAGATACAAGATGGAAACAGAGGTATCTTGGTCACCCTTGGAAGAGAGTCCCCAAGAAGGGCTCCTCATCCGCATCAAACTGAGATGAATGAGCAATCAAGTTTGTTGTGTTAAACCATTGAAATTTTAGGTTTACTTATTACAGTTAGGTAGCTTATACTGTCCTGATGATTATGGGGCATAACTGATGAAAACAAGATGAATATATTACAACTTTAGACAGGTAATTATTAAGATAAAAAAATCAAACTCTTAAAATGCATCTCAGTAAAAACATTGAGAAATCTTGCTTGTGCAGATGAGAATGAAGGCAGCTATAGCAATGTCACTGAATTCCCATTGAGTTACATGCACAAGGTGATTCATAAGAAAACATTTTTAATAATCTGTCAACTGACAACTGAATTGTGTCTTCTTTAAATTTTATTGAAGGCAAAGATTTAGCAACCACTTGACTTGCAAAGGAATTTTTTTTACCCAGGGATTCGAGTCACTCATTTTCTTGACATCCTCCCCGATATTTCAAATTATCACTTTTTTGGAGCTCCAGAGTCCTTTATATCCCATTGTAAATCACCATAGCAAGATTTTGTGAAATGGGAGAAAACTACTGGAAAAGGGAGGTGGGTAAAGATTTCTCAGGCAGTCAATTTTATGAACAAGTTATAGGAAATTTGAAAATCCATAAATTAATTCCCTAAAAACTATCTATATCAATATACCCTTTGAAAGTCTCTATGAATGCCCTGGGGAAAAAGACGCTGGTCTAGGGAAGAGGGAGAGGAGTCAGGAGCTGCACTGTCTCCTGACCTAATCCTCCTTTGGCTGCAGACCTTCACCCAAACCCTTGGCCCATCTTTCCCTGCCCTTCCTCCTAACTCACATTAGCTCCCAGTAAAAAAGGTCCTGATCAGGATTAAAATCTGTAACATATAAGGAGTTATTTTAAATCAATGAGAAAAGTATGATTACTCCAACAAAAAAGATGAGCAAATGATATGAAAAGGCAATCAATAAGAGAAGAAATACAAATGGTCAATCCCTATAGAAAATATTAAAACTTCACTCAGAAATCATAGATATGCAACTTAAGACAATGAAATACCATTCTGGAAATCAAATTGGAAAAAATACAGGAACTTCTAGTGGTGATTAGGAGGAAAATAAACTGGTTCAACTCTTCCAGGTAGCAATTTGGCAATATGCATCAAATGTATTAAAACATATAAAATTGAGCTAGTAATCCCAATTCTAAGAATTATTCTAACAAATTATGAATATGGAAAATGAAGATTCAGCCTCAAGCTTTATCACAGTGTTTTGGTCAAGGTTCTTTTGGTTGTAAGTATTAGGTTGCAAAGTATCTTTCATTTGAAATGCCTCTTCTCTACTGCTTTTGCTGGGTCTCTTAGTTAAAAATTCTTGATTGATTTGGACTGATTGTTTGCTGAGTGCCAATAGATTAGCCTCATCCTAGCAGCTGTTTGGGAGAAGAGGTGTCTTATGATGTACAGGGTTGCTTCTTCCAGGTACTATATGGGGTTAGGGCTGGGTTCTTCACAATAAACAGGAAATGAAATAAACATAGCCTATCTAAAATGATGAAGAACAGAACTAATTTAAAATTCTGACCTAGTATGTGAAGCAAACTCTGACATCATGCAATAAGATATCATTAAAAATGTTCTTATGGAAGAACACTGACATCATGCAGTGAGATTGTTACTAAAAATATTCTTATAGAAGACTACTTAATAACATGGGACTAGACTTGTGATACTTTTCTATTTCTGGAGAAAACATAGAAACATTGCAAAAAATATATAGTATCATTTCATTTAAAAATTCTTATATTTGTAAAGAAACAATATGTAGCAAAACTGTAGTAATAAAAATATGTGGATGGTGGGATTATCAGCTATTATTAATTTCTTATCTTTATGAAACCATTATTTTCTAACTTAATTACAGTTAACATGTATAAGTATTTTGATAAGAAAAACACCATTAAGATTCAGCAAGAATTCTTCAATCTCTAAGAGGACTGAAAAGAAACAAAGTGGATCTCAAATTTTGGATGAGCTATTAATAATTAGGTTCTGCTCAAGGAGTCAGAAAACAGGCTGCAAAACACCTACCCAGCTCCTGGAAGCACTGAGCACACATGGGCTCTGCTCAGCAGCCACAGCAGGTTCCAATTGCTATAGCCAGGGGAGGAAGAGATGCCACAGAGAGGAGTAACCACATCTAGTCTTCCTGCTCCCCACTTTTCTCCAGGAATTCTAAATCCCTTCAGCTATATTTTATGATTTCTATATGAAGACATGTAGTTCAGGGCAAAGAAAATTGGACTCAGAAACAGAGGGTTCAAATCTGTTCTGATACTTTACTAGTTAATCATCATGAAGCCACGAAACCTCTTTGAGCCACAGTAAAATGGAGAAAAAATAGGCAACCTGTTTATTTATATGGTTGTTTCAACAATTTAACGAGACAATATGTGAAAGTACTTGAAAAAATGATATGCATACAAGCACACATACATGCTTCTCTCTCGCACACACACCCTCTCTATACACACACATACACATACACATGCACACACACAAAATATTGCGTCTCAAATGTATACATTAAACAATTGGGGAAATAAAAATTAGAAACCTAAATCCTTGATTAGACCTTGGCTAAATGTAAATGAAATTATAGATCCTGTGGATTTGATGAGATGCCTCGAGAAGAAATGTCTTGTTGACCTGAATACTTTGAGAAGTGCCGATTATTATTCTCTCTATAAGATAGAAAGAGAAGACTTTCTATTGGTGCCAGGCCAACTCAGAGTCAGAAGAGGATGAGCAGAACTCAGAGGAGGTTTGATTAAAACTGGAAGAGACAAGAGGGTGTAGAACTTGAGGAAGAGGCGCAACAGGCTGAGTGCTGTGGCCCTGTTGGTGGAAGAGAAGGTACAAGAAGAGACCACTCTAGTGGATGATCCTTTTCATATGAAAATAGGTGGTATGGTACCCACCATACAGGTATCCACCATAGTTTCCTAAAGAAACTAAACAAAAGGGACAAAGATAAAATCAGTGAAGAGGAAGACACTGGGGACATTGTTTTCTGCAGAAACCAACTGAAGGGATGAGAATGCAGACATAATAAAGTACGTTGAGACAGAGCTGAAGAAGAGGAAAGAGACTATGGAACATAAGGAACAGAAAGTCAAGCTGAAGAACACAGAGGACTGCCTTTATGAACTTCAAGAAAACATTTGTGTTTCCTCAGCAAAGAAGACAGAGGAGATGCTTTCTAGCCAGATGCTGAGTGGCATCCCCAAGGTGGACCTCAGCATCAATGCTAAAATAAAAAATAATATCATTTCCATGGAGGATGCCAAAGCCCAGCTGGGGAAGAACAGCAGAACAAGAAGAAAGACAGTGAGACGTCCTTCGTGCCTACCAACATGGCTGTGAATATATGCTGCACAACCGACTTTTATCATTAGGAGCTCAACAGCCTCATACATAGAAACAAAGAAGAGCCTTGAAAGCAGGTGACAGGGAGAAGCCAGAGCCTGAGTGGTCCTTTCCAAATGGCAAGCATCCTGTTAATGAGAAGGCCCCTGATGACTATCACTATGAGAAAAGTTCAAGAAGACGAACAGGCAGTACTGAGATGTGTAGAATGGAATGTAAATACCAGTTCTTTCTCTCTCCATCCCTTTCATGGAAAAATGCTTCCTGGATAGAAGCATGCTCATTTGCCATTAGACAGTTCCAAAAACAGACTTTCTTACTCCTGCTGCTTACCTGCTGGATTTTTCAAGCACTAAATTTGTAACTTTTTGAAATAAAGCAGTGCATAGATTTCCTATTTAAAAAGCAAACTCTATTCTTGTGGGCCCTAAATCCTGTTTGTAAATGTATTTATTGGTTTTCTCTTAACATTTGTTCTTGGTCAGAAGGAAGCAACTATGTGTCCATGGTATGCTATTAATAATACCCTTTAGACTGTGCTTTTATCATTATATATGCAATCATGTCTTCTACTTTCACATATTTGAAATGGGTTCAGAAATCGATCCTTCATTGTTTAGAGTGGGTCTAGCTGACAGCAGAAAAATACTAGAATATCAGTATTCAAAGCAATACTGGTATTTTCTAACTTTTACAAAGTATTTTATTAAGAAAGAAAAAGCAAAACTGTATATATTTTTATCACTTTTAGAATTTAATTATTAAATACAAAATGAATTTAAAAAATGAAAGATAAAGAATGTTTACTTTCTGCTGAAAACAGGAGCTAAATAGGCTGGGCGTGGTAGCTCACACCTGTAATCCCAGCACTTTGCTAGGCAGAGGCGGGCAGATCACCTGAGGTCAGGAGTTTGCAACCAGTCTGGCCCACATGGCAAAACCCCGTCTCTACTAAAAATACAAAAATTAGCTGGGCTGGCTGGCAGGTGCCTGTAATCCTAGCTACTTGGGAGGCTGAGGCGGGAGGATTGCTTGAACTCGGGAGGCAGAGGTTGCAGTGAGCCGAGATGGTGCCACTGCACTCCAGCCTGGGTGGCAGAGTAACACTCTGCCTCAAAAAGAGAAAAAAGAAAAAAAAAGAAAACAAGAGCAAAATAAACAAGAAACATTGCTGAAAGATAAGCTAGGGGAACGAAGGTCTTATTTAAATTTAAATTTTTTGCTATAGTGTTTAGAATATAATAAATTATAGCTCCTTCTAATATTTACTGAGAAGGGCAAGATGTTCTCTAAGTTATTCAATTTTTACTTATTTATTTATTTTTAATTTTTTTTTATACTTTAAGTTCTAGGGTGCATGTGCACAATGTGCAGGTTTGTTACATATGTATACATGTGCCATGTTGGTGTGCTGCACCCGTTAACTTGTCATTTACATTAGGTGTTTCTCCTAATGCTATTCCTCCCCCCTCCCCCCTCCCCCCACCCCACGATAGGCCCCGGTGTGTGATGTTCCCCACCCTGTGTCCAAGAGTTCTCATTGTTCAATTCCCACCTATGAGTGAGAACATGCGGTGTTTGGTTTTCTGTCCTTGAGATAGTTTGCTCAGAATGATGGTTTCCAGCTTCGTCAATGTCCCTACAAAGGACATGAACTCACTTTTTATGGCTGCATAGTATTCCATGGTGTATATGTGCCACATTTTCTTAATCCAGTCTATCATTGATGGACATTTGGGTTGGTTCCAAGTCTTTGCTATTGTGAAGTGCCGCAATAAACATACGTGTGCATGTGTCTTTAGAGCAGCATGATTTATAATTCTTTGGGTGTATACCCAGTAATGGGATGGCTGGATCAAATGGTATTTCTAGTTCTAGATCCTTGAGGAATCTCACACTGTCTTCCACAATGGTTGAACTAGTTTACAGTTCCACCAACAGTGTAAAATGTTCCTATTTCTCCACATCTTCTCCAGCACCTATTGTTTCCTAACTTTTTAATGATCACCATTCTAACTGGTGTGAGATGCTATCTCATTGTAGTTTTGGTTTGCATTTCTCTGATGGCCAGTGATGATGAGCATTTTTTCATGTGTCTGTTGGCTGCATAAATGTCTTCTTTTGAGAAATGTCTGTTCATATCCTTCACCCACTTTTGGATGGGGTTGTTTGATTTTTTTCTTGTAAATTTGTTTAAGTTCTTTGTAGATTCTGGATATTAGCCCTTTGTCAGATGGGTAGACTGCAAAAATTTTCTCCCATTCTGTAGGTTGCCTGTTCACTCTGATGGTAGTTTCTTTTGCTGTGGAGAAGCTCTTTAGTTTAATTAGATCCCATTTGTCAATTTTGGCTACTGTTGCCATTGCTTTTGGTGTTTTAGATATGAAGTCCTTGCCCATGCCTATGTCCTGAATGGTATTGCCTAGGTTTTCTTCTAGGGTTTTTATGATTTTAGGTCTGACATTTAAGTCTTTAATCCATCTTGAATTAATTTTTGTATGAGGTATAAGGAAGGGATCGGGTTTCAGCTTTCTACATATGGCTAGCCAGTTTTCCCAGCACCATTTATTAAATAGGGAATCCTTTCCCCATTTCTTGTTTTTGTCAGGTTTGTCAAAGATGGGATGGTTGTAGATGTGTGGTATCATTTCTGAGGGCGCTGTTCTGTTCCATTGGTCTATATCTCTGTTTTGGTACCAGTACCATGCTGTTTTGGTTACTGTAGGCTTGTAGTATAGTTTGAAGTCAGGTAGCGTGATGCCTCCAGCCTTGTTCTTTTTGCTTAGGATTGTCTTGGCAATGTGGGCTCTTTTTTGGTTCCATATGAACTTTAAAGTAGTTTTTTCCAATTCTGCGAAGAAATTCATTGGTAGCTTGATGGGGATGGCATTGAATCTGTAAATTATCTTGGGAAGTGTGGCCATTTTCACAATATTGATTCTTCCTATCTATGAGCATGGAATGTTCTTCCATTTGTTTGTGTCCTCTTTTATTTCGTTGAGCAGTGGTTTGTAATTCTCCTTGAAGAGGTCCTTCACATCTCTTGTAAGTTGGATTCCTAGGTATTTTATTCACTTTGAAGCAATTGTGAATGGGAGTTCACTCATGATTTGGCTCTCTGTTTGTCTGTTATTGGTGTATAAGAATGCTTGTGATTTTTGCACATTGATTTTCTATCCTGAGACTTTGCTGAAGTTGCTTATCAGCTTAAGGAGATTTTGGGATGAGACGATGGGGTTTTCTAAATATACAATCATGTCATCTGCAAACAGGGACAATTTGACTTCCTCTTTTCCTAACTGAATACCCTTTATTTCTTTCTTCTGCCTGATTTCCCTGGCCAGGAATTCCAACACTATGTTGAATAGGAGTGGTGAGAGAGGGCATCCCTGTCTTGTGCCAGTTTTCAAAGGGAATGCTTCCAGTTTTTACCCATTCAGTATGATATTGGCTGTGGATTTGTCATAAATAGCTCTTAATATTTTGAGATACATCCCATCAATACCTAATTTATTGAGAGTTTTTCGCATGAAAGGCTGTTGAAATTTTGTCGAAGGCCTTTTCTGCATCTATTGAGATAATCATGTGGTTTTTGTCTTTGGTTCTGTTTATATAATGGATTACATTTATTTATTTGTGTATCTTGAACCAGCCTTGCATCCCAGGGATGAAGCCCACTTAATCACGGTGTATAAGCTTTTGAATGTGCTGCTGGATTTGGTTCGCCAGTATTTTATTGAGGATTTTTGCATCAGTGTTCATCAGGGATATTGGTCTAAAATTCTCTTTTTTTGTTGTGTCTCTGCCAGGCTTTGGTATCAGGATGATGCTGGCCTCATAAAATGAGTTAGGGAGGACTCCCTCTTTTTCTATTGATTGGAATAGTTTCAGAAGGAATGGTACCAGCTCCTCTTTGTACCTCTGGAAGAATTTGGCTGTGAATCCATCTGGTCCTGGACTTTTTTTGGTTGGTAGGCTCTTAATTATTGCCTCAATTTCAGAGCCTGTTATTGGTCTATTCAGGGATTCAACTTCTTCCTATTTTAGTCTTGGGATGGTGTATGTGTTCAGGAATTTACCCATTTCTTCTGGATTTTCTAGTTTACTTGTGTAGAGGTGTTTATAGTATTCTCTGATGGTAGTTTGTATTTCTGTGGGATTGGTGGTGATATCCCCTTTATCATTTTTTATTGTGCCTATTTGATTCTTCTCTCTTTTCTTCTTTATTAGTCCTGCTAGTGGTCTGTCAATTTTGTTGATCTTTTCAAAAAACCAGCTCCTGGATTCATTGATTTTTTTGAAGGGTTTTTGTCTCTATCTCCTTCAGTTCTGCTTTGATCTTAGTTATTTCTTGCCTTCTGCTAGCTTTTGAATGTGTTTGCTCTTGCTTCTCCAGTTCTTTTAATTGTGATGTTAGGGTGTCAATTTTAGATCTTTCCTGCTTTCTCTTGTGGGCATTTAGTGCTATAAATTTCCCTCTACACACTGCTTTAAATGTGTCCCAGAGATTCTGGTATGTTGTGTCTTTGTTATCATTGGTTTCAAAGAACATCTTTATTTCTGCCTTCATTTTGTTATGTACCCAGTAGTCATTCAGGAGCAGGTTGTTCAGTTTCCATGAGTGGTTTTGAGTGAGTTTCTTAATCCTGAGTTCTAGTTTGATTGCACTGTGGTCTGAGAGACAGTTTGTTATAATTTCTGTTCTTTTAATTTGCTCAGGAGTGCTTTACTTCCTACAATGTGGTCAATATTGGAATAAGTGCAGTGTGGTGCTGAGAAAATGTATATTCTGTTGATTTGGGGAGGAGAGTTCTGTAGATGTGTATTAGGTCCACTTGGTGCACAGCTGAGTTCAATTCCTGGATATCCTTTTTAACTTTCTGTCTCGTTGATCTGTCTAATGTTGACAGTGGGGTGTTAAAGTCTCCCGTTATTATTGTGTGGGAGTCTAAGTCTCTTCGTAGGTCTCTAAGGTCTTGCTTTACGAATCTGGGTGCTCCTGTATTGGGTGCATATATACTTAGGATAGTTAGCGCTTCTTGTTGAATTGATCCCTTTACCATTATGTAATGGCCTTCTTTTCCTCTTCTGATCTTTGTTGGTTTAAAGTCTGTTTTATCAGAGACTCCTTGCTTTCTTTGTTTTACATTTGCTTGGTAGATCTTCCTTCATCCCTTTATTTTGAGCCTATGTGTGTCTCTGCACATGAGAGGGGTCTCCTGAATACAGCACACTGATGGATCTTGACTCTTTATCCAATTTGCCAGTCTGTGTCTTTTAATTGGAGCATTTAGCCCATTTACATTTAAGGCTAATATTGTTATGTGTGAATTTGATCCTGTCATTATGATGTTAGCTGGTTATTTTGCTCATTAGTTGATGCAGTGTCTTGCTAGCATCAATGGTCTTTACAATTTGGCATATTTTTGCAGTGGCTGATACCAGTTGTTCCTTTCCATGTTTAGTGCTTCCTTCAGGAGCTCTTGTAAGGCAGACCTGATGGTGTCAAAATCTGTCAGCATTTGCTTGTCTGTAAAGGATTTTATTTCTCCTTCACGTATGAAGCTTAGTTTGGCTGGATATGAAATTCTGGGTTGAAAATTCTTTTCTTTAAGAATGTTGAATATTGGCCCTCACTCTCTTCTGGCTTGTAGAGTTTCTGCTGAGAGATCCTCTGTTAGTCTGATGGGCTTCCCTTTGTGGGTAACCTGACCTTTCTCTCTGGCTGCCCTTAACATTTTTTCCTTCATTTCAACTTTGGTGAATCTGACAATTATGTGTCTTGGAGTTGTTCTTCTTGAGGAGTATCTTTGTGGCATTCTCTCTATTTCCTGAATTTGAATGTTGGCCTGCCTTGCTAGGTGAGGAAGTTCTCCTGGATAATATCCTGCAGAGTGTTTTCCAACTTGGTTCCATTCTCCCCATCACTTTCAGGTATACCAATCAGATGTAGATTTGGTCTTTTCACATAGTCCCATATTTCTTGGAGGCTTAGTTCATTTCTTTTTACTCTTTTTCTCTGAACTTCTCTTCTCACTTCATTTCATTTATTTGATCTTCAATCACTGATACCCTTTCTTCCAGTTGATCAAATTGGCTACTGAAGCTTGTGCATGCATCACGTAGTTCTCGTGCCATGGTTTTCAGCTCCATCAGGTCATTTAAGGTCTTCTCTACGCTGTTTATTCTAGTTAGCCATTTGTCCAATCTTTTTTCAAGGTTTTTAGCTTCTTTGCGATGGGTTCAAATATCCTCCTTTAGCTCAGAGAGGTTTGTTATTACTGATCTTCTGAAGCCTTCTTCTCTCAACTCGTCAAAGTCATTCTCCGTCCAGCTTTGTTCTGTTGCTGCTGAGGAGCTGCATTCCTTTGGAGGATTAGAGGCGCTCCGATTTTTAGAAGTTTCAGCTTTTCTGCTCTGGTTTCTCCCCATCTTTGTGGTTTTATCTACCTTTGGTCTTTGATGATGGTGATGTATAGATGGGGTTTTGGTGTGGATGTCCTTTCTGTTTGTTAGTTTTCCTTCTAACAGTCAGAACCTTCAGCTGCAGGTCTGTTGGAGTTTGCTGGAGGTCCACTCCAGACCCTGTTTGCCTGGGTATTACCAGCAGAGGCTGCAGAGCCACAACTATTGCAGAATGGCAAATGTTGCTGCCTGATCATTCCTTTGGAAGCTTCCTCTCAGAGGGGCACCCAGCCCTATGAGGTGTCAGTCATCCCCTACTGGGAGATGCCTCCCAGTTAGGCTACTCGGGGGTTAGGGGCCCACTTGAGGAGGCAGTCAGTCCGTTCTCAGATTTCAAACTGCATGATGGGAGAACCACTACTCTCTTCAAAGCTGTCAGACAGGGACGTTTAAGTCTGCAGAAGTTTTGCCTCCTTTTGTTCAGCTATGCCCTGCTCCCAGAGGTGGAGTCTACAGAGGCAGGTGGGCCTCCTTGAGCTGAGGTGGGCTCCACCCAGTTCGAGCTTCCCAGCTGCTTTGTTTACCTACTCAAGCCTCAGCAATGGCGGGCACCCCTTCCCCAGCCTTGCTGCCGCCTTGCAGTTTGGTCTCAGACTGCTGTGCTAGCAGTGAGCAAGGCTCCGTGGGCGTAGGACCCTCCGAGCCAGGCACGGGATATAATCTCCTGGTGTGCCGTTTGCTAAGACCATTGGAAAAGTGCAGTATTAGGGTGGGAGTGACCTGATTTTCCAGGTGTTGTCTGTCATGGCTTCCCTTAGCTACGAAAGGGAATTCCCCGACTTCTTGCGCTGCACTTCCCGGGTGAGGAAATGCCTTGCCCTGCTTCGGCTTACGGTCCGTGGGCTGCACCCACTGTCCTGCACCCACTGTCCGACAAGCCCCAGTGAACCCGGTACCTCAGTTGGAAATGCAGAAATCACCCATCTTCTGCGTGGCTCATGCTGGGAGTTGTAGACTGGAGCTGTTCCTATTCGGCCATCTTGGAACCTCCTTCCTTTTTATTATTTTTTATTTTTTGAGACAGGATCTCGCTCTGTCACCCAGGCTGGAGTGCAATGGTGCAATCTCAGCTCACTGCAACCCTGCCTCCTGGCATCAAGTTATTCTTCCCCCTCAGCCTCCCAAGTAGCTGGGGCTACAGGTGCCTCCCACCACGCTTGGCTAATTTTTGTATTTTTAATAGAGACAGGGTTTTGCTATGTTGGCCATGCTGGCCTCAAACTCCTGACCTCAAGTGATCCACCCACCTTGGCCTCCCAAAGTGTTGGGATTACAGGCATGAGCCACTGTGCCTGCCCAGTTATTTAAATATTAACAATAAATGTGACCATTAACCACAAAGTCTGAGATTACCACGAAGCTTGTAAAACACCTCGATACAGAACATTGTATTTGTTTGCTTTGCTGTAAAATATGTTATAAGAAATTCCCTTTGTTCCCAGCTGAATATGAGCTATCCATTTTGGAGAGGCCACCTATTCCTCAGTCACTAAACTCACCAGCCAAATTAAACCCCCACCATATGTATTGGCTAGGTTCTCTTATTAGTCCAAAATCTTGGCTCTAGCTTTCTCTGTATAGACCCCCTGAATCAAAGGATGCTTCTAGCAGATTCAACTTCCAACACAGAGAAGTCTGACTTATTTCATGTTATTCCTGGTTATTACATGTGGGGAGTGGCATTGGGTAGTAAAAGAAGATAAACTAAATTTTACTATATGCATTTATGTATTGTTGAAATATTTTATCAATAATTTACTACCTTTGTAATAATAAATACCTTTGTAAGTGCTTTGAATATAGCACACTATAGACACTGTTATTCATATATGAACTGGAGTGAGGGGTTGGGGCTTCATATCTTCCTCCATGCACTGAAGTGAACCAAAGTCTACCCTCCTGTTACTTGTTCTGAAGCTGAATCTGTTCAAAGATGCATTTCCTTTTTCTTTCTTTCTTTTCTTTTTTCTTTCTTTCTTTCTTTCTTTCTTTCTTTCTTTCTTTCTTTCTTTCTTTCTTCCTTTCTTTCTCTCTCTCTCTCTCTCTTTCTTTCTTTCTCTTTCTTTCCTTTTTCTTTCTCTTTCTTCTTTTTTTTTTTTGATGGAGTTTCACTCTTGTTGCCCAGGCTGGAGTGCAATGGCTCGATCTTGGCTCACCACAACCTCTGCCTCACAGGTTCAAGCAATTCTCCTGCCTCAGCCTCCCTAATAGCTGGGATTACAGGCATGCACCACCACGCCTGTCTAATTTTGTATTTTTAGTAGAGATGGGGTTTTGCCATGTTGAGGCTGGTCTCAAACTCCTGACCTCAGGTGATCTGCCCACCTTGGCCTCCCAAAGTGGGATTACAGGCATGAGCCACCGTGCCTGGCCTGCCTTTCTTTCTCTCTCTCTTTCTCTCTCTCTTTCTTTCTTTCTTTCTTTCTCTCTTCTTTCTTTCTTTTTCTTTCTCTCTCTTTCTTCCTTCCTTTCTTCCTCTCTCTCTTCCTTTCCTTTCCCTTTCTTTCCCTTCCCTTCCCTTCTCTTCCCTTCCCTTCCTTTCCTTTCCTTTTTCCATCACTCAGGCTAGAAAGTGGTGGCATGATCATAGTTCACTGCAGCCTTCAGCTCCTGGGCTCAAGTGGTCCTCCTGCCTCAGCCTCCCAAATAGCTGGGACCACAGATGTGCCACCATGACCTGCTAATTAATTTTTTTTTTTGTAGTGACAGGGTCTCTCTATGTTGTTCAGGCTGGTCTTGAACTCCTGGGCTCAAGTGATCCTCCTGCCTCAGCCTCCCAAACTGTTGGGATTACAGGCATGAGCCACCAGACTGGATCACAGATGCATTTTCTTGACATCAACTTTATTGGCCTGCCCATCCATTAATTTTTTAAAAATTGAATTAATTGCCAGCATTAAAAAGCTCAGATGATCTTTGCGTAAAAATACAATATGGTGAATAAAATGGATTTTTACTTTGCATACATTCTACATATTGTCACTCCCCACCCCCAGAGGCTGGATAGCTGAAAGGGACATTTCTAAGCTGGGCAGTCAGATGTGATTTAGCTTTAACTTTGACCAACGAGATGCATTCAAGTGAGATTTAAAAGGCAGCAGTCCTGGCTGCTGCTGGTGGTAGGCATGATCAGATCAAGCCTGCCTTGGGGTTTTTTGTAGCAGCGTTCCTGCCACCAGCTTTGTAAGGGTCAAAAGGTGTGTGGTGTCAGCAGCATCTTTAAGCTGTTGTTATTTTTGTTGTTAGTGTGACCCTGGATGGGTGAAGCATGGCTCTGGAACCAGCAGCAGCAGCAGCAGCAGCAGCAGCAATATCTTCCTAATCCCTAGGTCGTTCCCAGAGCAAACGGTTCAGGGGGAAGCTTACTGATTTCCGGTCCTCTGACTCAGGCAGAGTTGGCAGCTTCCTTCAGAGCCGATTCTTCATTGTTCCCTGTCAGCAAGTCCTGGAGGCCTGGCCTCAACACATAGTAAGCACCTAATTCCCTGTGTTGAAGCCCTTTGCCCTTTATGCTTAAAATAGCTAGAGTGGTTTCTGTTTTCTGTAATAGAACTCTAATACACAGGAAAAATAAGAGACCTAGCAACATCTGGCCCTATTTCAGTTCTGATAACAATAGGCTGGTTATGAGCAATAGGCTCTAGGTTACATAGTCCCTACCACACCTTATTGTAACCCCCAAATGGAGACCATTTGTCAAATGCTATTTTATCATTGTATTTTTTAGTGTTTGTTTTTAACAGACATCCATTTCTCTTCATTGTTTTACCTTCTTGCACTCGGTAGGCATTTGAGTTTGAATCCTTACTAATACCTACCCGAAGCTTGGTGGAAAACATTTTTTTTTTAAATTTCTTTTTTTTTTTTTTTTTTTTTTTTTTTTTTTTTTTTTGAGACGGAGTCTCGCTCTGTCGCCCAGGCTGGAGTGCAGTGGCGGGATCTCGGCTCACTGCAAGCTCCGCCTCCCGGGTTCACGCCATTCTCCTGCCTCAGCCTCCCAAGTAGCTGGGACTACAGGCGCCCGCCACTACGCCCGGCTAATTTTTTAAATTTCTTAAAGAATATTATTCTTTCATTTTGAACATACTCCGAAATGTCCCCTAATAAAAGTCAGAAAACTGGACACCTAAACTGCATTATTTAGGTCCCAGTTAGAACTGTTTTTACTGAACAATGAAACTAGTGTTATTAATCCTAAGGGTGTTGTTGAGGAAACTGTAATGTCACCTCTATAGGGACACAACAAAGAGATTTCTTTCAAGTCAAGTTTTATCTTATAATCACGTAATAGGTCACGCTTGCTTTTTGCATTGGCTGTTAGAAAGGTAGGGCCAGAGGCTACCTGAAGGGCTGACTTCTCACACTGTACATGGCTTTATTTAGGCTTTTATGTTGTGTACTAGCCCTACTCCTGACTGGGTCTCATGGTTACTATCCTGTTTTTCTCTTTAGCAGATTTATTCATATTTTAAAAAAAATTCCATTGTGCTTTTTTCTTTTAGTTTTATAGTTTCAGATCTTACATTTAAGACTTTAACCCATTTTGAGTTGATTTCTTTAAATTTAATTTTTGTTTCTTATTGACAAATAATTACATATTTATGGGGCAAAATATGATGTCTTAGTACATGTATACCTTGTGGAATAAACAAATTAGACTCATTAACATGTCTGTCCCCTCACATACTTATCATTTCTTTGGGGTAAGCACATTTAAAATCCACTTTTAGGAATTTTGAAATATACATTACATTATTTTAACTATAGTTACCTTGTGCAATAGATCATCAGAACTTGTCCCTCCATCTAACTGAAACTTTGTACCCTTTGACTAACATTTCCCCTCGCTCTGCCTGCTGCCTTCCCCTCCCCAACCAGCCTCTGGTACCAGAGAGATCATGCAGTTTTTTCTGTGCCTGGCTTATTTCACTTAGCAGAATGTTCCCTGGATTCCACTATGTTGTTTCAAATGACAAAATTTTGTTCTTTTTTAAGGCTGCATGTTATTTCATTAGGTATATCTAGCGTATTAAAAAAAAAGCAATTCATCTGTGGATGGTCACTTAGGTTGGTTCTATATCTTGGCTGTTGTGAATAGAACTGCAGTGAATATGGAAGTGCGAACATCTCTTCAACGTACAGATTTCATTCTTTTGGATGTATACCCAGAAGTGAGATTGCTGGATCATATGGTAATACTATTTTTAGTTTTTGGAGGAATCTCCATATTATTTTCCAAAATGACTGTACTACTAATTTACATTCCCACCAATAGTGTGCAAGGGTTCCCTTTTCTCCACATCTTTGCCAATACTTATGTCTCATCTTTTTGATAATAGCCATTCTACAAGGTGTGCAATTTTTATTGTACTATGTTTAATACCCCTATTAAATCTTCTTGTAACAAGATGGAGAATGAATATTTTAATAAACTGCCTTCACTTCCCCTGCTCTATTCCTTTGATTATTTCTAATAGACATCTGTTCCTTAGTTCCCTCTGCTTCCCTGTGCTCAATCATGCATTTCCTCCAGTGTCTTAACAGACCAAGGCTATTCATGGGTGTGTTTGGGATTTTGCAGTCTAACAAATATTCTAAAGATATGGTCAAGTCAAAGAGTGAGAAACTTTCAGCAGAAATCAATTCGTTCAGTGATTATTGCTAAGAATCACAGGAGCTACAGATTTCTGTGTAAATCAAATGGAAGACTCAGTTTTTTTGGGAAGCAAATAATTATACTTCTTTTGATGACATAAGACTGAGAAATATCCAACATCTGATCCTAAGCTAACCTTTTTTTCCTTTTTTTATTAAATATTTTATTTTGAAATAATTATAATTCACATGCTATTGTAAGAATAATACAAGAGCTTTTGTATAACTTTTACCCAGTTTCCCATAAGGAAATATCTTACAAAACTAGAACAATATCACAGCTAAGATATTTATAGAGATACAGTCAAGATACAGAATATTTTCATCCTCACAAGAATCCCTCATGTTACTCTTATAGCCATATTCCCTTCCCCACCAACCCCACCCCCTCTTCAATCCCTGGAAACCACTAATATTTTCTTCATTTGTATACTTTTTAAGTTTCAAGAATGAGCCAATCTCTTTGGCTGGCATAAATGTTCATCACCAGTAAGTACACTACACTTACCAGCACCCTTCCCCCATGTTGATCCATTATTTGCTCTTCTTTAACCTACTCTATGCCTGAGAAGGCTGACCTTTGAGGATCACATGACCCAGGCTCCCTGTTCTCTGGCTTCCAATTGGGTTCAGCTGTTGAAGGAACTCGCAGAAAATGGAGGGAGTGGGAGAAGAGAGATGTAAGAGTATTCATCCCCCTGTGCACCTCCCCACTCCAATTCCTTGTCATGATTAGGGCACTGGCTACATTAGCTGTGTTGGAAGATTGCAGCTCCAGTTAGGTGGTCCTACTTCCATGGCTTGAGGTTCTCTTTAGACTCAGGTCACTTGGTTCATTGCCTTTTAGGCCTAAGGGTGACAGCTCTCCATGCTTGCTAGTTCCTGCGTACGTCACCATCTCACATTGGTTTCCTTAACCCTGCCCATACCTCTGTAAATGTGTGAAGGTTTCATAAAACCTTTCTCAACCAAATTCTTTGAGTGGACCATTGGTGCCTGTCAAGTCCTCATTGATGGAGTGATTCTAAGGATTGGTTTAAAAACATCTGCCCCTGGTTTAAAGCTTTTAAGAGAGAGAAACTTTCATTCGTGCCTATTTCAATTCACCTATGCAACTTAAAAAAAATTCATCCTCTCTCTTTTCTTCTGTCCATCCCTCTTCATTTTATCTTCTTGACCTCTGTCCTCACTTCAAATGCTAAATCTAAGCAATTTAGGCTTCTCCTGGGGGACCTCCAACTTAGCCTTTTATCTTACCATCTCTCTTCCTTGGCCTTGGAGGAAAGGATCCAACAAGTCATTTCTGGAGACTCATCTTGAATGTAGGACCCATTTGTCTCATCACAATTGCCTACATTTGGAGTGAGTGTGTAGGTTTTGTGTTGAACTCTTGTCTTGTGCTTTCTTCTCTGTGCTTTCCCCTCTCCCCTTTGCCAGAATGGACCCAGCCTTTTTGTGTTTCCTGACTCAGGAGTTTTGGGAAGACTCAGGCCCACTTTGTGTCAGGCACTGTTCTAGCCTAGGTCATCAAAGACACTGGCTTTGTGTTCTGGAATATAGGGAGAGACAGAGATATTTTGAAGAGAGGGAGGAAGAATAGAAGGCGAGAAAGAAGTGGGAGGGAGAAAGATAAGAAAAAGGAGGAAGAGGAGGAGAAATACCAGAGAGAAGAGAGTGCTTCAGATGAGAAAAGGGACAGAAACCTTGGTCAGGTGAGTTGCCTGCTGTAAAGGGGTGAAGCTACCTTGGAAAGTGAATTTATCAGGCACCACTTTGATGAACTGAAAATTAGGGGGGACAAAGGAATCCAATAATCATTAAGATTGCATTCCTTGATCTAGAACAATTCTTTGATCTACGGGAAAATTTCCCTGATCTAGGCAAGAGTAATATTTAATTAGGTTCAAAGAAAAATGAAAAATTATGGGATCTCGTTCATAACAGATTTGTGGACCATGGTTCACACTACCTACTATTAATGATTTTATAATCCCAGCCTTAATGCTGAGATTTTCAGGATCCAAGAATGGACTGTTTTGTAGTTTAAAATGTTCTTGTTCTACCTTCAATAAATAACTTGTCATTGTCATTTCATGTCCATTTATGGATTATCACTAAAGTTTAATAAACACTACACATTGGCTTGGGCTAATCATTTTGCACCCCTTATTTCATTTATCTTAACCCTGTGAAATATATATTTTTCTAATTTTGCGGATAAGAACTCTTAAGTGCTGAGAGCTTAAATAACTTACCTAAGGACACACAACTCATATGTGGAAGGTATGGAATTCAGCTCTATCTTTTAATGATTATACCATATTGCTTTTTGATGAGGCGTATTTTATTCAATGATCTTGACCGCTCTTCCCTTTTCTCCTAGGTAGCTCCCACACATCCTTTGGATCTCTGATAAAGAGTCATATACTTAAAGAGCCATCCTCACATTCCTGCCCAGGTATACCCCAAATAAAAGTTATCATAGCACTGTGCATTCCTCCTTTGTAACACTTGCCACCATTGAAATTTTATTTGCTTGTGTGATTATTTTGTCTACCTTCTCTCCTCTAGACTGTGAGCTGCATGAGAGAGGCCATGTCTCATTTTGTTCCATTACATCTCCAGCACTTAAGAGTGCTGGACACATAACGAGTGTCTGACACATAACGAGTGCTGAATAAATGTTTGTTAACTGATAAAATGAATCCTTTGTCTTTATTTCATAGAATTAAAGATGCCTTGAGTCAGAAGTCACCCCATCCCACTCACCCTTTAGAGGTCCTTTAGCACCATTTTAACCAACTGGTCAACTAACTGATCTTGAACACTCCATTTTTGAATAGGTCTGACCACTAGTGGCAGCCACTATTCAGGGGAGTATAGTAACGAGCTCCAGTGTTCTCCCTTACCCTACAACTCATGAAAGACTTCACCCAAGTTTTTTCTTCTTTAGACTGTGTGTGCCCATTGCTTTAGACTACTCTCCTGTGATCATCCTGTCTGTATTCTCCTGAATGTGTGCCCCTCATGTTTGGTATTCAGGGAAAAGATCTCAACATTAGATATGGTCTGACCAGATTTATTAGATTCTGAAGTGATATTCTGCTAATTTAATCTCACTGCTAATTTATACAGAGTTTGCAGACAACTTCAACTTCCATTTAAAATACATATAATGGAGGTAGTTTGATCGCTGCCCAGTGTTTCCTAAGTACCTGTGCTGTGCCTCTCTCTTCCACACCACTCTGTTCCTCTTGACACACTGGAAGCCAAAAATTCTCATTCACCCTATTTAAAGAACTGGCAAGAGGCTTAAGGGTATCCTGGACAATTGAGAAATGGGGGATATTCATATGGGGCAGTATAGGTGGAGTTAAAAAAAAGTCTTGAGATACAGGTGAATGTTCTTAGGCTGAAAAAAACCACAGATGGCATGAGAACACCTATTGATAGAAGGAATAGCAAAATAGCCCCTCCACCCATGCTATGTGTAGTGCTCTTTCAAGCTATAATTAGTTATCTCAGCTTCCCATGAAAGCTCCTACATAGCTCCTACACATCCTTTGGATCCCTGATCAAGAGTCATATCCTAAGGCCTGGTGCGGTGGCTCACACCTGTAATCCCAGCACTTTGGGAGGCCGAGGCGGGTGGATCATGAGGTCAGGACTCCGAGACCAGCCTGGCCAAGATGGTGAAACCCTGTCTCTACTAAAAATACAAAAATTAGCTGGATGTGGTGGCGCATGCCTGTAGTCCCAGCTACTTGGGAGGCTGAGGCAGGAGAATTGCTTGAACCCGGGAGGCGGAGCTTGCAGTGAGCCGAGATCGCGCCACTGCACTCCAGCCTGGGCGACAGAGCGAGACTCCATCTCAAAACAAACAAACAAACAAACAAAAGTCATATCCTTAGAGCGGCATTCTCACATCCATCCTGCTACTGAACTCCAACAATTCTGCATGGTCTTCTGATGTTGACCATCTTCACCTCCACCAAACCTCTTAGTGGAGTGACTCCAGGTCAGGTTCTCCTCTCCCCTATCCCTGACTCCAAGTGCTGTTCTCTCTCTATATCTGTCACTTCTCCTTGAGGGGAAGCTGAGGTCCTGGCCCTTCATCTAATCTCTTTCTATTTCTATGTTATGATCTCTGGGGACCCTCAAGATGGTGCTTTGGTTCTCAAAAGCATGCTTCAGAGTCACAGAGCCAAACATGTACCATTTATTCTCTTTTATTCTCAATTTAACCATCCTACTTTCCTGAAGACAATGTGGTCACATAGAAGGAAGCTGGAAAAGAAAAACCCAAAATTAATTTTTGAAAATATTGTATTGTTGTCCGGGCACCGTGGTTCACGCCTGTAATCCCAGCACTTTGGGAGGCTGAGGCAGGTGGATCCCCTGAAGTCAGGAGTTCAAGACCAGCCTGGCCAACATGGTGAAACCCTGTCTCTGCTAAAAATACAAAAATTAGCCGGGCGTGGTGGCACATGCCTGTAATCTCAGCTACTCAGGAGGCTGAGGCAGGAGAATCGCTTGAACACGGGATGTGGAAGTTGCAGTGAGCCAAGATTGTGCCATTGCAGTCCAGCCTGGGCAACAAGAGGGAGACTCCCTCTAAAAAAACAAAAGAAAAAAGTAAAAAAAGAAAGAAAGAAAGGAAAGAAAGAAAGAAAGAAAGAAAGAAAGAAATAAAGAAAGAAAGAAAGAAAGAAAGAAAGAAAGAAAGAAAGAAAAAAGGAAGGAAGGAATAAAAAAGAAGCAAGAAAGAAAAAGAAAGAAAGAAAGAAAATATTGTATTATTACAATTGTGTTGCTGCTAAGCTATATCTCTATTGGTGCCGTGAATTCTTTTGGCCTCAATAACATAATCTGAACACTTTTGAATGGAGGTTTTCTTGGTGTTGAAGAGATTATTTTGTTTAAAGGAAATTCCCATTTTAATTTTCAGTGGAATTGCCTAATATGATATATAGTCTTTCATTAAAAATGCTCATTTATTCAAGAACCATTTATTAAGTGACTGCTAGATGCCAGGATGTTTGCTTTTCTACTTTCCTTATTTAAAGAGCATGTGCCTGGGAATTATCAGAATCTATATACTCTGATAATGAACAAGATAGTCTTTGTTCTAATGGACTAAACTTCTAGTGCAATTTTTTTTTTTTTTTTTTTTTTTTTTTAGAAAAAATTGCTGGAGCGCAATGGCACCATCTTGGCTCACTACAACCTCCGCCTCCCAGGTTCAGGTGATTCTCCTGACTCAGCCTCCCGAGTAGCTGGGACTATAGGTGCATGCCACCATGCCCAGCTAAGTTTTTGCATTTTAGTAGAGACAGAGTTTCACTGTGTTTCCCAGGCTGACCTTGAACTCCTGAGCTCAGGCAATCCATCCGCCTTGGCCTCCCAAAGTGCTAGGATTACAGGTGTGAGCCACTGTGCCTGGCCTAGTGCAATTTTAGTATGGATATATTCATGTGTTCATTCAACATGTTTTCTGAGCCCCAGCTTAGCCTCTGGCACTCAACGTAGGAAAGACATGGCACCTGTACTCAACTGTAGTGGACAAAATAGATAAATAAGACAATAATTACTTTAAAGAGTCTTTAAGGTTATTTGATGCAGACAAGGAAGGCCTTGAGTCAAGAAGAACTTCTCAGAGGATGTGAGCCTTTGGCTTTAATTGTGGGGATGAGAGGGAGTTTACCAAGTGAGGAAATATGAGATAGAGGCTTCAGAACTTGCAAAACACAGAGGCAAGAGAATGAAGAGTAAGTTTGGAGAATGACAACCTGTAGACCAACCAGAATGACTTTTGTCCAAATATAGTTCACCATGTAAGAAAGAATTTAAGTTCTCTGAATCCCTGTATTCCTTGTTTCTTAACAAGAATAAAAATTTGACAGCCTAAGTGGAAGCCATCCACATGCTTGCTGGTATGAATGAACTGTATCATGCTGAGACACTGGTGCCTCAGAAATGCTTCAGCGCACTAGAAAGCAGAGAAGTGTCAGGGGTTGGTTCTAGAAGTGAGATTGCTTGGGAATCTATTTTTTTTCCCTAAAATATTATGGTATGTCCTGCTGTGGGACCTCTAGTTCAATTCTGCAGTTTTTTTGTGACACAATTTACCCATATCTCTATGGTATATCAGCTACAAATCCTGGGAAAAATCCATACCAGGCATTGGTAGATATCACTTACTGTCAAGCATGACTTCAACTTTTCCTCTACCACGTGTTCTTAGGTTAATAAGATGAAATGCTTTTGAAAAGTGAACATTTATGGAAGACAGTTTGGAAAAACAATTTTCTTCAATGTAAATGGTTGATGGAGTTTTTATTTATTCAATCTATAAGTGCGCTGGGATGCTCCTTGGTACTGCAAATGAAGTTCTTGAATCATTTGATTCCTTGTGACTGACCCTTCTTACCTGCTTCAGTCTAAACAGAAAGGTACCACACTGGGTTCTAATCACTCGGCTGAATTAAGATCAATGCTATGAATTCAGCTCAAGATCCCAAATAACAGCCTCCTCCTTTACACCTCAGCACTCAGAGGATGACTAGTAGATAAAGAATAAATGTATGTACTATGTCAATTATACTGACAATTGTTTAAGGAAGAATTGCCAATTTTATAAATGGAAATGCAAGTAAAAGGATATCATTGACCTTTTAACTGATAGGTCTACTTGTTTCAAAAGGTCATCACAAAATTTTGCTATTTCTTGGTCTTGAAAATAGCCCTTTCATTGAACTGGAAAAATATTTTAAAGTTTTGAAATGTACAAACCTTGTATAATAAAGTTGGTATAGTTGAACCTTGGAAAATTAAGTGCATGAGTACAATTGCACTTTCTGTTTCAAATGCTTCACTCATTTTCTGAAAATTTCAATGAGAAACTAGTATCAGATCCTAAATTAACCTGCTAGGAGGAATCTGGACAAGTTATTTTCAGAGCGCATTTTTTCTTTACAGAATTCATCTCAGCTTCTTGCTCTTCGCTTAGACTTTGAAGCTCACTTCTTTAGATGTATTGTCAGGAGAAGATTAGGCTTGGCTTTATGAACTGTCATGGAAAAAGAGATGGCCAGAGGGTCTTAATTTACATAGGAAAGTGAAAGGAACAGGCATTGAGTAAATTTCTGTTATAATTTTGCGATTAATAGTTTCTTGGGGTATTAGGAATATTATGAGTGACTTAATAGATTACTTTGGTTTAGTCAAAATTTACTCACAAAATGATAACTGAGGAGAGATTTCCTTCTGCCTTTGGAACATGTAATGAAATGAAGAATTTGGGGAATTTCTTCTTTATCTCCATCTCATTTAGTGCCTCTGGAAACTGGGGTGATGAAGCAGTGATTCAGGAACAATGACCAATTACACTATGCCAACTGGAGATTTTATTTTAGCTAGAAAAGTTTTAAAAATAATTCCCTTTCATTACCACAAGTAAGTAAACTCTCTCAAGCTCATGTATTATTCAATGTCAAAATGGATTTATTTCCCAGTTAGAACTTTCAGGAAATTTGTCAGGATTCTGCAATGCCCCAACCTATACCCCAGGGTACCTCAAAAGTGTAGATTTGTATTGGGGTAGGTACAATGATCATCATCTACATTTTACAGATGAGTAAATTGAGACCAAGCTTTGGAGCTTGGACTTCAATGTAGATCAGTCTTCATTCAAAGAACATGCTAGTAACCACTACACTATTCTGACTCATATTGCTTGAAGTCTGCCCAATGTCTCCTATTACTCTTTCCCTCATGGTGCCTTTTTCTCATGTAAACTATTTGCATGAGAAAATAGAATATAAAGCAAAGAAAAAAAAAGGTCACTGAGGATTAAGAAGGCCACTACATAGCCTTGAAAATCTAAGAAAATTATAAGACAAATTACAAGGAAAATGGACAAATACATGATTGTGATCCAATATTTAAAAGTATATATAAAAAACAACAGATCATATAGAAAATATATAGAACCAGTATACAGAAAATATGCTTTCTTTTCAAGTATTTACCATGTATTAGGTTATAAAGGAAAATAAATGTTTAAATATAAGTTATTAAAGAATCAAGATCATCCAAACCATTTTCTTTGATGACTATGCAATTAAATATCAAATTAGCAGTTAAAAGTACCTATTTCTTTGAAAATTTAAAATCACACCTAAAAACTCATGGTTTAAAAAGGATATACTGTTGATAGTAGGGAAGGTTGTGCGTGTAGGGGGCAGGGGTATATAGGAACTCTGTACTTTGTGCTCAGTTTTGCTATGAACACAAAACTGCTCTAAAAAATAAAGTTTATTAACCATAAAAAAGGATGCACATACACTCATAATGAAAATGACAAAAATGTTAGAGTTGAATGACAATGAAAGGCAATTTAAAACAGAAAGGGTAAAAAAGTTTACCATAGTTCCTTCTGTAGATAGAGATGATCATTCTCGAAAGTCTGGTGTATATTCTGGAAGGATATATTGAATGTTTACTCTGCCAGGCCTTGTGCTTAATATTATTGTATTTAATCGCATAACATCCCTATCAGATAGGAACTTTAATCATCCTCATTTTAAGTTGAGGAAACTGAGTCTCATAGAGGTTAATTTGCCCAAGCATGTTAAAATCTAGGTTTTCTGATTACCATACCACACCACATCACACCATGCCATGACATGACATACATACCTACTGCCTGTAACTTGCTTTCCTTTCCCCCAACCTTAATTTATTTTTCTGTCTCAGAACTGCATCTCTCTTTTTTTTTTTTTTGAGTTGGATTCTCACTCTGTCACCCCAGGCTGGAGTACAGTGGCACGATCTTGGCTCACTGCAACCTCTGCCTCCTGGGTTCAAGCAATTCTCCTGTATTAGCCGCCTGAGTAGCTAAGGCACATGCCACCACGCCTAGCTAATTTTCATATTTTTAGTAGAGATGGGGTTTCACCATATTGGTCAGGCTGGTCTCGAACTCCTGACCTTAGGTGACCCACCAGCCTCGGCCTCCCAAAGTGCTGGGATTACAGGCACGAGCCACCATGCCCAGCCCAAACTGCATCTTTTTCTACCATTACAAACAATAAAGCAGTGAACACTTACCTACATACATCTGTACTCTCTTCTCTAATTGTTTACTTAGGAGAAATTACTAGAAGTTGTATTATTACACCAACTATTGATTTTTACATTAACATTTATTAAGTGTATTTTATTCTATAATCTATCTCCCCTTATTTCATGCCATTAATTTGCTGGAGAAACTGGGTAATTTATTTTTGGAGAAACTGCATCACTTGTCCTATAGAATGTAGGATTTGCCTGAGTACTTAATTTGCATGTCACTTAGCTTGTTTCTCTATTTCCTGTGTATACTGCAAACCGATCATTATGTGGAGGTTAGATTAAGTTTAGAGTCAATCTTTTAAGCAAGAAGACTTTATAAGAGCCAATTGTGTCTGGTGAAAGCAATTCATGTACTTCTGATGTGACAACATCCCATTTTATTAAGGTAGAAAAGTTTCTAAATGGTGGGTATGGTTATCTCTGAGGTCTGCACCCTGTGAAATGAGATGGCCTGGCATTATAGAACATTAGCACCAATTGCACCCATTGTATCTTTCTAGTTATAATTTTCAGGCACATGAGATCTCTTCCTAGTATACCTTCTCCAGCTCTCCTTTCCTTCTTTGCCTAACTTGGAAATCCTTTCTATTGTGCCTTTCATGAGTCACTGGGAGAAGCTCTAGCACAAACTGCTTGCCACCTGTTTCTTCAAGAGTATCTTAAAGATATTCTCACTCTATTTTCTTATGCCATCACTAGGTAGTGTTTGAAGGAGAATTTTCACATAATCCTGTCATACCTCATCTTAGTGATGAAGACTTGGAGAGAATTCTGCTAAGATCCAGTACTAAGAAGCTAAGATTCTCCAGGCTACCAATGTCACTGCTCATCTTCCCATATCCATCCTTGCCTCACCCTGTGTGGATGTGATACTTCCCACAGCCTTACAACCACAGTTTGCACAGCCCTCCAGCATAATCTTGGTTCTCCCTTCCTTGCTCACCTCTCAAGTCTGCATTTTGTGGGTAAACATCCCAGATGACTTCACTCAACACTCCTTCCTGGGTGTTACCTGCTTCTACTGGGTTCACTCCAACCCTCGGAGAGAGACCCAGCCAGAAATCCAGCTGTAACATAATGGTTAAAAGCACAGGCTCAGGAGCTGGTAGATCTAGGGTTGAAATTCACCAATAGCACTTTCTGTCAAGTTACTAACATATACAAGTCCCAATTTCATAGTTTGTAAAATGGGGATATTAATATTTATTATATAAGGTTGTCATGAAGATTAAATGTGATAGAGCAAATGCCTAAGTCAATGACTGACATGTGGTAAATGCCCAAAGAATAGAAACATTATTATGAGTGTTAGCATATTCCCATACTCATGCTATGTTCCTAGATCTTTAGCTTCCACTGGGCACAGAGACATAGTATATAAAATCTTGGTAATTAATAGAGAACATAAAATGATAAAGCAAAGTCAAATTTAATGAAGTCTACACGAAGTAATAAAATGTTTTTGAGGATAGAATAAGATCGTAGAGCTAGAAGTGGTCTTAGAAGTAACTAAACCCAGACCAGTGCGGTGGCTCACACCTGTAATCCCAGCATTTTGGGAGGCCGACGCAGGCAGATCACTTGAGGCCAGAAGTTTGAGACCAGCCTGGCCAACATGGAGCAACCCCGTCTCTACCAAAAACACAAAAATTAGCCAGGCATGGTGGTGCACGCCTGTAGCCTGTAATCCCAGCTACTCGGGAGACTGAAGCACGAGAATTGCTTGAACCCAGGAGGTGGAGGTTGCAGTGAGCCGAGACCATGCCACTGCACTCCAGCCTGGGTGACTGAGCAAGACCCTGCCTCAAGAAAAAATAAAAAAATAAAAAAAAATAAAGAACTAAGTAAGTTCAATTCCTCATTTTACAGTTGAGACAAATAAGACCTAGAGAGGTTGAGGGATCTTCTGTACCTATCAAGCAAGTGCATTGCAATGCGAACCCATGTCTGCCTTTGGCCAGGATGTTTTCTGCCACAATGCACTCGTAGTAATGACTCACTTGAAATTTATCTTTTGGCCTTGCACAAATGATGGACTACATGCCAAAATTCAAAAGTAAAATTTCTGAGTGGTACCTGTACTTTCTAGATATTTTGATGAAATGAAAGAATCAACAAAAATTTATTCAAGAGGGGAAAAAAGACATGCTTGAAAAATACTGGGGAACATATCCTTTCTTTGAAGAGTAGGACTGATATTTATTACCATTGCTGGCAGACACTGTTTGGTCTCAGGGAATGTATTCCCACATTTAAATGTTATTTCCAATAAAAGAATAAAAAGATTCAAAGAATTTCCTTTGAATATAATTATAAAATTACCATGATAATACACAAGAAGAGTTTTGTTGCCTCCCCACATATAAGTTCTGTGAGGGGAACCAGTGGAAAATCAAAAGCAAGCCACCATGACAGGCTGTTGCTGAAAGCAGATGTGTGTGGTGCCAAATGCATGGCTGAAAGGATGCTCATTTTTGGTTTTTCTTTAACTATCCTTTTAATCTCTTTGTCTCTTGCTAATTATTATGCATAGACAAATACATATATCAAATTTTAATTGCTCCATCACACTGTACAAATGATGATAAAATAGCACTTGCAATCTGCTTTGGTAATTTTTGGACTGTAACTATGCTTTAATTTGTACAAGTGAAATACATTTCATTTGTCTTCAAAGTAGTTATTATTCGGCCCAACTTTTTTTTTTAGATTATCCATTTCAATATCACTTTTCTAAAAACTATCTATGATCTGTTATTGTTACTTCTCAATTGTTGATGCATATCAGTACCACCACAATTTTTGTATTCCAATATTTTATACTAAGGAAGATTTTCAAATTAAATGTGATTGCATTTCACAGAGTTAATTAATTAATATTCATTAAATTCAATAAAATTACCAAAGCACCTACTCTGTTCCAGAAACAGTATCAGACCCTGGAGATGCAGAGGTGAATAATGTATGGTCCTTGCCTCACTAGACCTATAGCTTAATGGGATTATATCCATCCCCTTGGCCTTAATTACAATCTATATGATAATGACTTTCAAATTTCCAGACCTGCCTCTATTGTGTCCACTGAGCTTATCATCTTTCTGTCAAAACTGCTCCTCTCTCCATCCAAAAATTCCCAGTTTTACAGGAATGGCACCCCAAACTACCTAAATCTAAATATTTGGGATTATCCTTTAGTCTTTCTTCTCCCTCATGTCTTTTTCCTAATAAGTCAACAAATCCTGTTAATTCTACCTCATAGGCAGCTCTAAAGTTTGTCTACATTTCTGCTTTCCTACTGGTACTATCTAGTCCAGCCCACTAGCATCTCTCACTTGGATTAGTAACAGTGTCCCAATTAGCCTCCCTGCATCTCTAATGGGCAGCCACAGTGACCACTCTAAAAGGCATGTCTGACCATGTCACCACCCTTAAAATCGTTCAATGGCCTTTCCATTGCTTTAGGGATAAACAAATCTGGCTTCCTTAGACAAGGCTTTTACAGCCCTCCCCACTAGCCAGCACTGCTGTCACTGCTCCATCTTGCTGTCTTGCCAGTGCCCTACCTTTCTCCATTAATAATGAACTTATTTCAGTTACCTGAAGAGAGGCCCCATGCATGTGCTCTCTCATTTCTAGGCCTTTAATGGGCTGATCTCTTTTCCTGGTACATACCTCAGGCTCAACCAAAGGATGGCTCCCTTAGGAAGCCTTTCCTGACCTCCTGGATTGTGTTAAGAACCCCGACACCCACAGAGTCTTCTACTTTACCACCTATGATCCATCATTGTTACTTCTCAATTGTCTTTCTCCCTGCAATCCTGTAAGAACCAGAGAGTAGAAAACTTGTCTAAGTTGCCCACTATTGTAGGACACATGGGAATAAATATTTGTTGAATGAATAAATGAAACTGACTAAATAAATATGTTATTTATGGCAAGTGCTCTAGTAGAGGTATCTAGAGAGCTATGGAACCCAAATGAAGGGCGCCTAAGTTGGAGGTGGGGTTCAAGGAATACATGTACTGCTCTCAGCACAGTGGGTGACACATGGCAAACTGAGTTTGAGGGACTAATAAGAGCAGTAAGAGTTAACTTCACTATTCACAGAAAGAAGGGCATTCCAAGTAGAGAAAACAGTCAGTGTATGTGAGATAATGGAGGTGTGAATCAGCAGCAGGGGTTACAGGAGCTACACACTGTCCTGTATGGGTGACACAGGGATTGCATGGATGGATGGTACGGTGGTGGTAAAGGAAGCCACAAATGTGAGTAGGACCTGATTGTAAACCATTTGTTATAAACCAAGGAGTTTGAACATTATTCTGAAAGCTAAGGGGATTCAGAACACGAAGTGACATATGCTTTGGAAAAAAATGTGATAAGTTGCATAGGGAGAGATGAATTTGATGGGTACCAGTGGCGGCAGCAATGTGATGTTTGGTGATGGGTGTTGATAGGTTTGACTACTCAATGAGGTGGTGGGGGGTGCGGTAGGGCAATAAGTCAGGCCAGAAGTGATAAGAACCTACATAAGGCAGTGACAGTGAAGATAAGCCCATAAGGCTTGGTGAAGGAGTGGATGAGGAAGGTTAGTGAGCAGGAAGGGAATTGGATCAACTGTAGGTTTCTGGTTCAGGTGATTATATGGATAGTGGTCTCTTCACTGAGAATTCAGGCTGGCTTAGGGGGAAAATGAAGAAGGTAAATGGGCTGTATGGAACTTGGAAACATTTACCACTAGAAGCAATGGGACAAATAGTGACTAGATCCTCACAGTAGTACTACAAAGTTTTTTTAACCAGTATGTAGCCAAGGTGGAAATCCAAGTCCCAAATGGATTTATTGTACCCTGTTAGGCCCTGAACTGTTCAAAGACAAAAGCCACATGGTGCCTTGATTCTCCCTGAGTCTTGACCACTTCAAAATCCTCAGTGAGAAGAGAGATGAAGGTGGAGAAAAAAGTAACCAGGTATGAGATGGAGCAGCTAAGTGGTTCTAGGAGTCAGAAGGTAGAACGCAGGATTGGAGTGACAGTGGGAATCAAGTGGCGATTTACATGCTAACAGCAATGCAAGAAGAGAGTAGGGAAGACATAGGAGGAAGGGTCAATCATAGGGTAGGATCTTGGAATGTAAGATGAAAGCCTGTAATGGAAGAGGAAAACCTGGCGGTGGGCATTTGATAGCCACATTAAGGGTTTTGGTCACTGAGAATGGCCTGATTGAAAATCTTCTCTAACACTGTTCATTAGGCTTGGGTCCTTATTAGAAGCCATTCAAGGTGTTTAGTTACAGGGTCAGCATAGGATCTCTAGTGACAGCACAGCCCCCTGCACATGGTAGGCACTCTATAAATATTTGTTGGATCTATTAATAAATGAACACCAAATATACAGACGATGATTTCATTCAGAAGAAAATCTTGCCATAGGAAACACTGGAGCAAGAAGCTCTAGAGTAATTGGGGTGGAGCTTGTCTTCCATGGTGGGGACAAGTCTTCTAAATAACTCAGCCTACTAATTGCACTACTCAGCAATCAGTCAAGCATTGGGACCTGGTATGATAGATACGTTGAGCCCAATCAACCAATTTATTGAGAATCATAAGGTAATTGAGATGCTCAGTTGGAAGGGACTGAAGTGCTGCTTCAGGAACCCCAGATATGTAGTTTTAAGGCAAATTGAGCTGAAATATTTCCTTATTCTATTAGCCCAGTTTCTGGAATTAATGAGCCCAAGAGAAGACCTTTCTTGAATCAGTGACAGAGTTGTTGCTCAGTTGTAAATTTAGGGGATTTGGATTATTCCAATATGCAATCCTTTACTTTTTAAAAATATGTCATTGGTCATAATTCCTTTCTTTCTTTCTTTCTTTCTTTCTTTCTTTCTTTCTTTCTTTCTTTCTTTCTTTCTTTCTTTCTTTCTTGTCTTTTCTTTTTTCTTTTTGGCAGAGTTTTGCTCTTATCGGCCAGGCTGAAGAGCAGTAGCACAATCTCGGCTCACTGTAACCTCCGTCTCACAGTTGAAGTGATTCTCCTGCCTCAGCCTCCCGAATGGCTGGGATTACAGGCACCCGCCACCATGCCCAGCTAATTTTTGTATTTTTGGTAGAGACGGGGTTTCACCATGTTGGCCAGGCTAGTCTTGAACTCCTGACCTCAGGTGATGTGCCCGCCTTGGCCTCCCAAAGTGCTGTGATTAGGGTTAGGGTTAGGGTTAGGGTTAGGGTTAGTGTTAGGCATGAGCCACCGCACCTGGCCCACAATCTCTATTACAAAAATATTTTAGTATACCTCATGGGATTTGAAAGCCCAGATAGGGCTTTGTTTATTCCAAGCTTAAATGTTAAGTAGATCATGATATGGTAAGAAGGAAACCTTAGTTCTTATAAGAAATACACAGAATATCACAGATAGGTGAGTGCATACCTATATTCGCCTACAGGTGCTCACCATGGGCCTAAATTTACTAGCACAGGCTGAGTAAAGTACAAAGCGAGGATTCAAGCAGACAGAGCTGTAGTTGCTGTGGAAACCATAGCACTGATCTTCACGACACACGTACACTCAGCTCTACCATTCTATAAATGACTTAATGGATATTTACTTTTTGAAACAATTTCTAAAACTTATTAACCGAAATCTTAAAAATTAAGAAGGCTCTATAGTTTTGCTTTTGTAAATTTCAGCTCTAGGTGAATTTTTCTACATACTTAAGTCCTGGAAATTGGAGAATTTTCATTGTTGTTTGCTTCCTAGGCAGGTGTACAAAGTAAATGCTGATTTTATAGAACTGATGTGACCTCTACCTATAGTCACAATCAGGGATATGCAAATTCCTGGGTGTCTTGGCGTTTTCTTAATGCTTTCTCCAGTTCGTCTTATAGATATTTCAATTCTAGCTGAAAGAGACACTATACTCTCCCATCTAAAACATTAATAGCCAGTGTACCAAAGTGGAAGCTCAATTACATATGGATCAGGATCCAATTAATCCTTTCTGATAACTTTATCTACTTGGTCTACACCCAAGACTGCTGGCAGGAAAATCGTCTCTGAATTTCCTTCCAAATATAAAGTTGGCAGATTTCATTTACTCTCTTTGCATATATATATATATGTGTGCGTATATTTTATCCTTGGAAGAAAGAGAGATCTTAGAATTTGCATTCTTTTGTGTGCAAACAGTTTCTGCATCAATGAAACTAAAACTATTCTTAATAATATTATATATTGTACTATTTTTCAATGCTGAGTCATTTTTGAATTGTCAATTTATGGCATCAATTCTCATTAAAAACAGCCCCTCCCTACTGATATTCGGGGTGATATAATCACCCTTGCTGGTGTCAGTAGAGCACTCTTAATTTTGAGATTTAAAAAGGTTTCAGTCTATCTTTATAGCTACTAGTCAAGGTAAATATGTCTTTATTCAAAATCTACAATTATTGCAATAACACTACTTCTGACCTGTGAGAAGTGCATAGTAAATTAATTCAGTTTGCCAGTGACCTGCTCTTGAAACCTATGAACTGATGAAATCCTTATATAACAAAACTCTATGGGTCCCACATTTTTTTTTGTCCCAGGATGATTTCGTTCCAACAAATATTTTTGTTAAATATGTTTTCTTTTTGTAGGAACTAGATAAAAAGTTGCTCATACAGCAGAATAATATTTTGAAATATTATTGGACGTATTTTTCCTTCTTAGTAGTCTCCCTCTGCCATCAGCCTGAGAGAAATACAAACAGAACAGTGAGAACCGTCAGACTCTTACCTTTGAGTTTTAAAAGAGGGTTTTCCAATGCAAGGAAGCTAAGAACCTTGATAAAAGTTTAGAGGAATTGCTAACTAGAATAACCAGTTTAGAGAAGAACATAAATGACCTGATGGAGCTGAAAAACACAGCACAAGAACTTCATGAAGCATAAACAAATATCAATAGCCGAATTGATTGAGCAGAAGAAAGGATATCAGAGATTGAAGATCAACTTAATGAAATAAAGTGTGAAGACAAGATTAGAGAAAAAAGAATAAAAAGAAACAAACAAAGCCTCCAAGAAATATGGGACTATTTGAAAAGACCAAATCTACGTCTAATTGGTGTACCTGAAAGTGACGGGGAGAATCAACCAAGTTGGAAAACACTCTGCAGGATATTATCCAGGAGAACTTCCCCAACCTAGCAAGGCAGGCCAACATTCAAATTCAGGAAATACAGAGAACACCACAAAGATACTCCTCGAGAAGAGCAACCTCAAGACACATAATCATCAGATTCACCAAGGATGAAATGAAGGAAAAAATGTTAAGGGCAGCCAGAGAGAAAGGTCGGGTTACCGGGAAGCGGAGCTTGCAGTGAGCCGAGATTGCGCCACTGCAGTCCGCAGTCCGGCCTGGGCGACAGAGCGAGACTCCGTCTCAAAAAAAAAAAAAAAAAAAAAAAAAAGAAAGGTCGGGTTACCCACAAAGGGCAGCCCATCAGACTAAGAGCAGATCTCTCTGCAGAAACCCTACAAGCCAGAAGAGAGTGGAGGCCAATATTCAACATTCTTAAAGAAAAGAATTTTCAACCCAGAATTTCATATCCTGCTAAACTAAGCTTCGTAAATGAAGGAGAAATAAAATCATTTCCAGACAAGCAAATGCTGAGGGATTTTGTCACCACCAGGCCTACCTTACAAGAGCTCATGAAGGAAGCAGTAAATATGTGAAGGAAAAACTGGTACTAGTCACTGCAAAAACAAACCAAAATGTAAAGACCATTGACACTATGAAGAAACTGCAGCAACTAATGGGCAAAATAACCAGCTAGAATCATAATGACAGGATCAAATTCACACATAACAATATTACCCTTAAATGTAAATGGGCTAAATGGCCCAATTAAAAGACACAGACTGGCGAATTGAAAAAAGAGTCAAGACCGATTGGTGTGCTGTATTCAGGAGACCCATCTCAGGTGCAAAGATACACATAGGCTCAAAATAAGGGGATGGAGGAATATTTACCAAGCAAATGGAAAGCAAAAAAAAAAAAAAAAAAAGCAGGGGTTGCAATCCTAGTCTCTGATAAAATGGACTTTAAACCAACAAAGATCAAAAAAGACCAAGAAGGGCATTACATAATGGTAAAGGGATAAGTGCAACAAGAAGAGCTAACTATCCTAAATATAAATGCACATAATACAGGAGCACCTATATTCATAAAGCAAGTTCTTAGAGACCTACAAAGAGACTTAGACTCCCACACAATAATCGTGGGAGACTTTAACACTCCACTGTCAATATTAGATCAATGAGACAGAAAATTTACAAGGATATTCAGGACTTGAACTCAGCTCTGGACCAAGCAGAACTAATAGACATCTATAGAACTCTCCACCCCAAATCAACAGAATATACATTCTTCTCAGCACCACATATCACTTATTCTAAAATCGACCACATAATTGGAAGTAAAGCACTCCTCAGCAAATGCAAAAGAATGGAAATCATAACAGTCTCTCAGACCACAGTGCAATCAAACTAGAACTCAAGATTAAGAAACTCACACAAAACTGCACAACTAAATGGAAACTTAACAACCTGCCCCTGAATGACTACTGGGTAAATAATGAAATTAAGGCAGAAATAAACAAGTTCTTTGAAGCCAACAAGAACAAAGACACAACACACCAGAATCTCTGGGAGACATCTAAAGCAGTGTTTAGAGGGAAATTTATAGCACTAAATGCCCACAGGAGAAAGCAGGAGAGATCTAAAATTGACACCCTAACATCACAATTAAATGAACTAGAGATGCAAAAGCAAACAAATTCAAAACCTAGTAGAAGACAAGAAATAACTAAAATCAGAGCAGAACTGAAGGATATAGAGGTACGAAAAAACCTTCAAAAAATCAATGAATCCAGGAGTTGGTTTTTTGAAAAGATTAACAAAATAGATAGACTGCTAGCCAGACTAATAAAGGAGAAAAGAGAGAAGAATCAAATAGACACAATAAAAAATGATAAAGGGGAGATCACCACTGATCCCACAGAAATACAAACTACCATCAGAGAATACTATAAACACCTCTATGCAAATAAACTAGAAAATCTAGAAGAAATGAATAAATTCCTGGACACATAAGCTCTCCCAAGACTAAACCAGGAAGAATTCGAATCCATGAATAGACCAATAACAAGTTCTGAAATTGAGGCAGTAATTAATAGCGTACCAACCAAAAAAGTCCAGGACCATACAGATTCACAGCCGAATTCTACCAGAGGTACAAAAAGGAGCTGGTACCATTTCTTCTGAAACTATTCCAAACAATAGAAAAAGAGGGTCTCTTCCCTAACTCATTTTTTGAGGCCAGCATCATCCTGATACCAAAACCTGGCAGAAACACAACAAAAAAAGAATTTCAGGCCAATATCCCTGATGAACATCTATGCGAAAATCCTCAATAAAATACTGGCAAACTGAATCCAGCAGCACATCAAAAAGCTTATCCACCATGATCAAGTGGGCTTCATCCCCAGGATGCAAGGCTGGTTAAACATATGCAAATCAATAAGCGTAATCCATCATATAAACAGACCCAAAGACAAAAACCACATGATTATCTCAATAGATGCAGAAAAGGCCTTCAGTAAAATTCAACACCCCTTCATGCTAAAAACACTCAATAAACTAGGCATTGATGGAACATAGCTCAAAATAATAAGAGCTATTTATGACAAATCCACAGCCAATATCATACTGAATGGGCAAAAGCTGGAAGCATTCTCTTTGAAAACTGGCACACGACAAGGATGCCCTCTCTCACCACTCCTATTCAACACAGCATTGGAAGTTCTGGCCAGGGCAATCAGGCAAGAGAGAGAAATAAAGGTATTCAAATAGGAAGAGAGGAAGTCAAATTATCTCTGTTTGCAGATGACATGATTGTATTTTTAGAAAACCCTATCATCTCAGCTCCAAAACTTCTTAAGCCGATAAGCAACTTCAGCAAAGTCTCAGGATACAAAAATCAATGTGCAAAAATCACAAGCATTCCTATACATCAATGATAGAGAAACAGAGAGCCAAATCATGAGCAAACTCCCATTCACACTAGCTACAAAGAGAATAAAATACATAGGAATACAACTTACAAGGGATGTGAAGACCTCTTCAAAGAGAACTACAAACCACTGTTCAAGGAAATAAGAGAGGACACAAACAAATGGAAGAACATTCCATGTTCATGAATAGGAAAAATCAATATCGTGAAAATGGCCATACTGCCCAAAGTAATTTGTAGATTCAGTGGTATTCCCAGCAAGCTACCACTGACTTTCTTCACAGAATTAGAAAAAACTACTTTAAATTTCATATGGAACCAAAAAGGAGCCCATACAGCCAAGATAATCCTAAGCAAAAAGAACAAAGCTGGAGGCATGACGTTACCTGCCTTCAAACTATACTACAAGCCTACAGTAACCAAAACAGCATAGTACTGGTACCAAAACAGATATATAGACCAATGGAACAGAACAGAGGCCTCACAAATAACACCACACATCTACAACTATCTGATCTTTGACAAACCTGACAAATACAAGCAATGAAGAAAGGATTCCCTATTTAATAAATGATGTTGGGAAAACTGGCTAGCCATATGCAGAAAACTGGAACTGGACCCTTTCCTTACGCTTTATACAAAAATCAACTCAAGATGGATTAAAGATTTTAACATGAGACCTAAAACCATAAAAACCCTAGAAGAAAACCTAGACAATACCATTCAGGACATAGGCATGGGCAAAGACTTCATGACTAAAACACCAAAAGCAATGGCAACAAAAGGCAAAACTGACAAATGGGATCTAATTAAACAAAAGAGCTTCTGCACAGCAAAAGAAACTATCATCAGAGTGAACAGGTAACCTACAGAATGGGAGACAATTTTTGCAATCTACCCATCTGACAAAGGGCTAATATCCAGAATCTACAAGGAACTTAAAGAAATTTACCAGAAAAAAACAACTCCATCAAAAAGTCGGCAAAGGATATGAACAGATACTTCTCAAAAGAAGACATTTATGTGGCCAACAAACCTATGAAAAAAAGCTCATCATCACTGGTCATTAGAGAAATGCAAATCAAAACCACAATGAGATACAAATTCACGCCTGTTAGAATGGCGATCATTAAGAAGTCAGGAAACAACTGATGCTGGAGAGGATGTGGAGAAATAGGAACACTTTTACACTGTTGGTGGGAGTATAAGTTAGTTCAGCCATTGTGGTTGACAGTGTGGTGACTCCTCAAGGATCTGCAACTAGAAATACCATTTGACCCAGCAATCCCATTACTGGGATTATACCCAAAGGATTATAAATCATTCTACTATAAAGACACGTACACACATACATTTACTGCAGCACTATTCACGATAGCAAAGACTTGGAACCAATCCAAAAGCCTATCAATGTTAGACTGAATAAAGAAAATGTGGCACATATACACCATGGAATACTATGCAGCCATAAAAAAGAATGAGTTCGTGTCCTTTGCAGGGACATGGATGAAGCTGGAAACCGTCATTCTCAGCAAACTAACACAGAAACAGAAAATCAAACACCAAATGTTGTCACTCATAAGTGGAAGTTGAACAATGAGGACATATGGGCACAGGAAGGGGAACATCACACACTGGGGCTTGTCGGAGAGTGAGGGGCAAGGGGAGGGATAGCACTAGGATAAATACCTAATGTAATTGATGGGTTGATGGGTGCAGCAAGCCACCATGGCACGTGTATACCTGTGTAACAAACCTGCATGTTCTGCACACGTATCCCAGAACTTACAGTATATAAAAAATAGACAAAAAAGAGAGGGTTTTCCAAGTGAGATCTTTCAACTCTGACAGCAAAGTTCTGAATAAGAGAAATTTTTTTGTGGGGTGGGGGAGGTTATTATTTCTTTGTTTGTTTTTTGTTCCAAAACCTTGAATATCAAAACAAAGCCTGCAGGTCTCAGAGCATAGAGTTTATACAATAAACATAAAACAGAAAGAATTCTTCAGTAAACATAGAATATTTTCTTGCCATTCAGAGAGGGGACAGACTCATTTCTGAGATGGGTAAGAAGCTTGACAGAGAGGGAGAGGAGAAGAAAAAGAGCTCTTTTTTCCTATTTTGGTTGAGTCTTGGTGGGGAGAGGAGTGGGATTGTGAAAGAAAAAACAGACAGATAAGTTTGTGGATCTGATTGTAGAGGGAATTTTTCTCCTACTTTCTGTCTGAGAAAATATAGCTTCCTAGATGGGGATTTATGACCTGAGGCAGTCCATGCTGCACCTCCAGAGGGTAGCCCAGCCAGTGAAAATTTTCTATGTTTTCTAGAAGTACAGGCAAGGACTAGATACAAATCAGAGGACATAAAGAAGTCTTATAGTTGAGATTGACAGGAGTTATCAAGGGAGTGTGGGCACTTCTGTAGTGGGTGCAGTGAGGAAAGAGGCCAATAAATGCCTAAGAACGAAAGAAAGCAGGGTTAGTACAGAACAGAGAACAGAAGACCTCCCAAACCAAACTGCCCTCCAAGGATGTGCCAGACCCTGGAACTTAGATTAGTTCTAAGTTACTGCCTACTAAGTTATCATTTACCCAAAAGAGACAGAGTTTAATCTGGAGGTGACTGAGTTACCTTTAATCATGAATACATTTGTAATTTCCATTATCAGCAGAAATAAGGACTCAGGAGCTAAGTTCAATTATAGAAAAAATTTCTCATATGGATTATTATGTTTTTAGTTTCTAGAGCTATTTGCCTCTTTTTAAGAATTGCTTTGACATTTTTTATAGATTCTTGTGCCTTCCTGTATCTTCAAGCTTTAAAAATTCCTTTCAATATAATAAACATTTTTATTCAATAATCTGTGTGTGGTAATTCCAATATCTTAAGTCTGCAAATGTCTGATTCTGCTGTCTGCTGGTTCTTGCTCATGGTGCCTTGTTTCTTTGTGTGCTTGGCTATCTTTGATTCTGTGTTACTCGTAGCACTTGAAAACATATTTCTGAGGATTCTCAAAGACCTACTAATAGGAAGATAACTTCCTCTGGAAGAGGTTTGTATTTTCTTCTTTTAGAGAATTAGGTATAATATCATTCTGGTACTCTAAACTAGATTTTTGGCAGTAGTACAAATTTGGGGCTGCACATCTGGGCTTCAAATATTCCTGTGGTTACAGCCTCTCAGGGCTGGATTTCCTTTTTCTTTTCCTTATGCCCTGCTTTGTGCTGAGCTAAAACAACTCTTTCTGTAGTTGTCTGAGCCTGAAGGGAGGGAATGGGCTTACCTCTGGTGTAGCCTTTTGTGTTCCAGTTTAATATGGGGTTGTCCTGTTATATTCTCCACTTTTGGTGGGCCTTGGGATATGATTTCCATCTGCCTCACACCAGGAATCCATTGTAGCCATAGCTCAGTTTCACAGTCCAAATAGGCAGATGCCCTTGGAACAGAAACAACTTCTAGTGGTTGGCCTACTTTTCTGTGCTCTCATTTATTCTTGGTTTTGGCCTGATAATGCCTTACTTATGTTTTGGCATATTGATGTTTTAAATAAAGATTAAAACATATTTTATTCAGTATTTTTAGTAATTTTCAGTGAGAGAATTGGTCTGAATAAGTTAGCCCATCATTGCTGGACATCAGAAGTCATTTCTGAGTTATATGTGGGTAAAATTCATGTTCAGTACACTGAGTGAGGTAGGAAAAAAAAGGTGTTCTGAACTCAAGAAAAGGAAGAAGGAAACTGAGAAAGTAACATTTCCTCCTTTTAAAGCTCTTTGTACTTTTTGCAAGTAAAATAAATTGTTGGGTAAATTTGGGAATTTAGGCAAGCTCTTCTTATAAGGGTTGTAGAGATATTTAAGAAGAAAGTATGAGAAAAATTTAATTACATCCTTTTGATTACAGAATTAAAGAGTTGTAAATAATTGTTGTTTATTCTTTCTCTCTAAATTTTGGGTCGTTGATTCTAAACAGAATCTGAGATATGGGCAGGAAGCAGTTACAGAAAATGTTGTTCATAATTGTTTTTTAAATAGCCAGAAAATAAAAACCTTTTACTCTGAGTTTTAATAGTAAGACATGAAATGGCTTTGTCATAAATTTATGTTATGTTTTCTGTAATGAATGTAATTAATTACTTTAATAAGTCCTATGGGAAAATGCAAAACAAGTAGGAGAACAACTTCCTATTGTGGAATTTACAATCTATTTGGGGAAGTCATGCACACAAAGATATAAGTTCCTTGGGGGGCAGGGATTTTTGTCTATTTTGTTCAAGACTATGTTTCTGGGGCCAAATGCAGGTTCTGGTACATAGTGGTGGGTCAATAAATATTGGTTGAATAAATGAAATAAATAACTGAGACAAGTATAATTTAAGAATTTAGGCTGAACTTGCAGTGAGGTTACCTGAGCTCAGGATGTTAAAGACAATCTGGAGGCTGGCAGGTTAAGCAGGATCCAGCTGCATCAGGTTAAGCAGGATCCAGCTGCATTTCGAGGAACATTTTGAAGTTTGGTAATTATTGATTGTTGACAAGGAAGCCTTAAATGTGAGAGAGGATGCTTTTTTTTTTTCTTTTTTCTTTCTTTCTTTCTTTTTTTTTTTTTTGCAACAGAGTCTCACTCTGCCACTCAGGCCAGAGTGCAGTGGCATAAACTCGGCTCACTGCAACCTCCGCCTCCTGGGTTCAAGCAATTCTCCTGCCTCAGCCCCCTGAGTAGCTGGGATTACAGTTGCATGCCACCACACCTGGCTAATTTTTGTATTTTTAGTAGAGATGGGGTTTCACCATGTTGGCCAGGATGGTCTCGATCTCCTGACCTCGTGATCCACCCACCTTTGCCTCCCAAAGTGCTGGGATTACAGGCATGAGCCACCACACCCGGCAGAGGATGTTTTTCAATCTACCTGAGACTTAATTTATAGAGGTATGACTGACTGTAACATGGAAGGGTTAATGCCACTGAAAGAAGAAAGTATTACTCACCTTTCCTGAGAGAAGGGGCAAACACATTACACCTGGCCACAGTGAGAAAACACCAATGTTGTCAGGAGATAGTAAGGAGAAAGCCTAAGCCAGAGCCCTTATTAGGGTTTTTGAAGGAAAGACAAGGCAGGGCAGAGTGAACAGAAGGCAGGGTGGAGTAAACAGTTTAGGACTGGCTAGTTTGAATAACATCAGTGAGTTCTGGAATGTAGGGGTGGTCTCTAGTCTGCTACCTGGCTGCTGGGCTGCTTTAGAGCAAGAGAAATATTGGCTCAATCAGTGACAGTTAGATTAGGAGGTGTAGGTTTGGGGGTGTAGACTCACATTGGTTGGTTTTATATATAAAAGGTGTGCTCAAAGCCCAGCAGGGCCCTTTGTTATCTCTAAGAGTTTCATAGCCCTGGGAGAGGCAGTCTCTTCCTGGCCAGCAAGATTTTTAAGATATCAAAATATATTTAAGATACAGAAAATTAAAACCATGATTAATACAGAGAGAGAGAGAGAGAAGTTTTACACAAAGGAAACAAAGTCTTTGCAGACAGGGAAGGGGCATAGTAAATTTAATCTAGGACGATGCTTTTTAGAAGATTGTTCTATACACCAGAGTCTTATCTTCAGATAAACTTCATGTGGAAGCACAAGTGGAGCTCTGGTTGAATGGAAATAGAGGGTCATAACAATTCCATCTCCCACCCTGTCTCCCACAATAGTAGCCCTGATGGTCCTCTATGGAAACTCCAAAGCTCTGCTGAGCACACCTTGAGGGCATCTTATGTTGACCCAAGTGGACAACTCATGAGTTGGGAACAGGGCTAGTGAGACAGTGAGATGGCATTGGAAAGACAGAGGGAAGGCCTTTCACCATCAAGGGATAGGTCTAAACAGAATGAGGTGATCGAAAGGAGCCATGCCAGGTTCTCATTGAAAGAATGGCACGAAAAATCTAGAAGCTGAGAAAGAATATTACAAAAACGATTGAAAAAAAACGCAATGGAGCAAGAACACCAGCTAAGGATCTGAACTTTAGTGTTCATGTGAAAGATCTACATAGCACATTTAAAATGCAGATTCCTGGGCCGGGAACAGTGGCTCAGGTTTTTATCCCAGCACTTTGGGAGGTTGAGGTGGGCAGATCACTTGAGATCAGGAGTTCGAGGCTAGCCTGGCCAACATGGTGAAACCCCATCTCTACTAAAAAATATAAAAATGAGTCGGGCCTGGTGGTGTGCGCCTGTAATCCCAGCTACTCAGGGGTGCTGAGGCAGAAGAATTGCTCGAACCTGGGAGGTGGAGGTTGCACTCCAGCCTGGGCAACAGAGCAAGACTCTATCTCAAAAATAAAATAAAATAAAACAAAATGCAGATTCCTAAATCCTGCTCCCAGAAATTCTGAGTCAATAGGTTTGAGATGGGGCTTAGGAATCTGAATTTTTAACACCATCCCTAATAATTCTGATGTAAGTGGTCCGAAGATCAAACTTAGAGAAATACTCTTATAGCTGAATATTTCCCACTTTCACCCTTCTTATCAAGGTCACGGTTAAAAGTTTATCAGGAATAAGGAAAAACTACTTAATTCAACACTACATTACATTGAAGGCATCAGTGGAATATATAAATGAAACAATGGTTTGAATGTCAGTTGTGAAATTTGAGCCCAAATAAAATTTTATTATTTCTAGGTGTCGGTAGAAATAACCCCAGCTGCCAAGGGACCTAGATCAGGTAGGGCCAAGCTCAGATTCCACACTTCATCTTGTGTGCTTAGGTCACCAGACGCTCTGTCAATTCTACTAATTTTTCTATAATAATGTCCTCAGGAGACTTCTAGGAGAAGCACACAGTTTCCCTCTAGATTTAGAGTTTTCAAAGATTTAGCAGGTACCCCAACCATTTCCCATTTTGTACTTACCATCTACTCATTTAAGCTCTTTTTGAAATTTATAGTTCACTGATATCACTGTACCCAATATGTAAATAGGCATGATATAATTAAGCAGCCAAACTTTGAGTGGGTGTACCAGCCACCTTCCCATGCTACTTAGTTGAAGCTGAGCCCTTTTCTCGAGTCATTTTATGCTCAATTGGCTTTTCTGGCAGTAATTACTGAACCTCAACAGTTGTCTCCTTTAGATACTTGATATTTACTTAACATAGGACAGAAAAAGGGAAGAGGAAGAAACTAATATTTATTGAGTGCTTACTATGTGTTAGACCTTCTAAATATGTTATCTCATTTGGGGGAAAGATGAGGATATTAAACCTCAGAAAGGATAAGTAATAAAAGATAAGTAAGATGTGTGCATTAAAAACTCCCCAAATACATTTGAGGACAGGGCTTCTCCCTTATCATCCCTCCTGCACATAGCACATAGCACCTGTTAGTATCTCAGGGGAAGGTCTGTGGAATGTGGTTTGGGTAACATTGAGTTAATCCAAGTTAAGTTGAGTTAACCCAAGCTAACCTAAGTTAACATTGAGTTAACCCAAGTTAACCCAAGTTAACCTAAGTTAACGTTGAGTTAACCCAAGTTAACCTAAGTTAACGTTGAGTTAACCCAAGTTAACCTAAGTTAACGTTGAGTTAACCCAAGTTAACCTAAGTTAACGTTGAGTTAACCCAAGTTAACCTAAGTTAACGTTGAGTTAAACCAAGTTAATCTACATTGGAAGATTTTGGTTAAAGTCCAACTGATAAGAGGTCCAATGCAAAGAAAAGTTGAGGGAAATAGCCCAGGAAAAAGGGAAACCTCTCCTGAACATGTAAACTCTGTGGTACATAAGTGACTCCATGGACTATTATTCAGGCACAAAAATATAATTTTGAAAATGCTAAGGTAATATGGGTAATGTTTATAGAATATAATTATTCAGGGAACAAACCTTAAGGATACAAACTTTTATCCATGCTATGATTGCAATGAAATGAAAAATTATAAATGCATGTGAGCAGGAACTGGAGGGAAATATGTAATAATGAAAACAAATCTTTATTAGGGTCATAGTCTCAGCAAAGACTTTAAAGAATTCTATTACTTGTGATGATGTTAGTTTTACAATAAAAAGTAAAAATAAAGGAACGTTGCTTGAGAATTTAATTCTCCTTTCTTTTTCATTAGTCTTTTTTTTTTTTTCCCCATTTCTCCTCTTCTGGAAATCCAAATCTTCTGCAGGATAATAACAAATTCTGGAAACTGTGGCTGTGCTCACTCACTCCCACCTCTTATCCCTTCCTACCAAAAAAGAACTCTCGGAATACACTGTGTATCCCTCACTTGCTGCAGAGAGATTAACAGACACATACCAAGACCATGTGTGGCATATGATTAAAACATGGGACCCGTAGTTCACAGAGGAGCCAGTCAGTAGCCAATTCTTGATATACACAATATTCTGCTGCCTTCTTTCAGATAAATCAAAGATAAGTAAATTACAAAGCCAAGTTTCCAAAAGTTGATATTCGAAGCATATGTAGCAATATAACAGCTTTAGGATTTTCAGTCATATTGATACAAAATAAAAGTTTAAAAATTTATATTTTTAGACTAAACATTCAAAAAATAACCAGGCATACTATTCCTCACGGATCATGCTATTCATGCTATTTTGGGTAAAACCCCAAAGAATATTAACTATTGTAATAAATAACTTTGCCCATAGGTGAGGAGGCAAAGCATATATTATATATGTATATTATATATATACATATATTATATATAATATATATTATATATATACATATATTATATATATAATATATATTTTATATATACATATATTATATAATATATAAAATATATATTATATATACATATATAATATATATTATACATATATTATATATAGATATATTATACATATATTATATATATTATATATATACATATATTATATACATATATATATATTTTTTTTTTGAGACAAGATCTTGCTCTGTCACCAGGCTGGAGTGCAGTGGCATGATCTCGGCTCACTGCAACCTCCGCCTCCCGGGTTCAAGCAGTTCTCCTGCCTCAGCCTCTCGAGTAGCTGGGATTACAGGCACACCCCGCCACACCCAGCTAATTTTTGTATTTTTAGTAGAGACGAGGTTTCACCATGTTGTCCAGGATGGTCTCAATCTCTTGACCTCGTGATCCGCCCACCTCAGCCTCCCAAAGTGCTGGGATTACAGGCGTTAGCCACCGCGCCTGGCCCTGCATATACTATTAATAAATGTTCTAACATATTTATTTAGAAACATTTTTTGCGTGCCTATTGTGTTCCAGGTGCTGGGGATATGGTGGTGAAAACTCCCTGTCCTCACAGAGGTTATATCCTAATGGGAAGAGACCCAATGAACTGGTTAAGAAGTAACGCACGTAGTGTGTTTCTCGGTGGGAAGTACCGAGATAAATAAAGCACAGCAGGGAGCTTAGCAATACAGCAGGGACAGTCTCACGGAAAAGGCAGCATTTGAGAGAAATATCTGAAGGAGGGTGCTCTTGGATGTCTGGAGTGGAACACTCCAGGAAGAGGGACAAATGTGGGCAAAGGCCCTGGGCTGAATGTGTCTGTTGTAATGGCAGATGAGTAGAGAGAGAACACAGAGGCCAGTGACAGTGATGAGGGGCGTCGAAGCAGGGGATGGTGAGCACAGTACTGCTCTCAGGGGTGTGGAGGGGACAGCAGGAGGTGCGCCAGCGGGGCACACTTTCTTCCTCGGGGCCATCATGGAGAGCTTCTCCAGAGCCCTGTGCTCCTGGGAAACTGACAGTTAAAAAATCCCCCTCCCTTTTTGTATTATGACACAGGTGACTATAAAGAATCACTCTTCCCTATGTAATTTAGATAAGACTCGAGGATGATACCTCTGTTTACTCATGACAAGGCCAGACACGGATCCTCCAAATCTCCCTTTGTCTACAAAAAGATTAGCTAAACTATTTGTCCTGCTGAAATTAGCTAGATGTTGCCTGTGTATGATGGATAGAAATTCCCACTGTAAAATTACTTCATCTACAACTTGTTTACTCTTCCCCACAAGTCTGAGGTGAAATAAACTGTCGAGATGCTCTCAACTTCAGATCTGTGATCTCCTGAATGCAACTGGGAGAATAAAATTAATTTCCTTCCTTGTTCCATTTTTGTCTTTGAACATGGTAGTAGCTGTATTATAAACCCATTTGAGGGAGATTTTTTTTTTTCTTCATAACACGTTTGACAACAAGCCCTCTCTAAATTTTAAAGTAATTCTCTTGAGTTGAAATCACCTTCACATGGGCTTGAAGAGCAGAGACAGTCATGATTCAAATTTAATTACTAAATTCTAAAGTCACGCTTTGTGAGAATTAAATTGGGAGGTAGAGGAGATAGTTCATCAATCGAATCCTTTGGGCATTATTCAATATTGAGAAAGTAAGTGATGTGGTTTGGCTCTGGGTCCCCAGCCAAATCTCACCTTGAATTGTAATAATCTCCACGTGTCAAGTGTGGGACCAGGTAGAGATAATTGAATCAAAGGGCGATATTCTCTATACTGTTCTCGTGATAGTGAGTGAGTTCTCACGAGATCTAATGGTTTTATAAGGGGTTTCCCCCGCCTTTCCTTATACTCATTCTGTCTTCTGCCACTCTGTGAAGAGGTGCCTTCCACCACGATTGTAAGTTTTCTGAGGCCTCCCCGGCCATGTGGAACTGTAAGTCAATTAAACCTCTTTCCTTTATAAATTACTCAGGCAGTTCCTTAGAGCAGTGTGAGAATGGACTAATACAGTAAGTTTCCCTTCTACTTTTCCAGCTAGTGCCGTTGATCCGATACATAACCAATTAAGTTTAATTAGTTTACATTCTTTTACTGAGATATTTATTATATGGAATATTTTGTTATATTAGTTTTAGATATAAGTAAATTGTAAAATTAAAAGTATATTTTATCAATGTTAATAAGTTTTTGCTCTAAAAACTTTACCGATAAAAGTAAAAACACCTGTCTTGTTCCCAAAATGTGTCTACTAGAGCTGGCAGCTGAAATTACTCACTTTGTTTAACCAGAGCTTTTTGAAATAGTCAATTGTACTTGAAATAGTAAGAAGGGGACTATCAATCATTCATTTCTCAGTGTGAATTAGTCTCTGAAGACTGCTTTTCTTTCACTTGGATGAAATAATCTTCAATGAGGAAATGGGACTTGTAACAGACTTGTAGAGAAAGTGAAAAATAGGACAATTTATGGGAGTTCAGACCTGGGTGAGTGGAAATATTGGATTGCTTGCGAATAGCACAAAAACTGTGGATTCAAAAGAGGAGATGAAATAAACACAACAGACAGATAAGATTTATTTGGAATATTCCTGCCCTAATTACTAGAGCTTTCACAGGTTTGTGAAATAACTAGAATAATGGACACAGATCTGATAAAGGTTCTTTTGAAGATGGGCTTGAGGCCAAGCACAATGGCTCATGCCTGTAATTCCAGCACTTTGGGGATGCTGAGGTGGGAGGACTGCTTGAGGCCGTGACTTCGAGGTTATAGTGAGCTATGATGGCACCACTGCACCCCAGCCTGGGTGACAGAGTGAGACCCTGTCTCCAAAACAAAACAAAAAAGATGAGCAACTATAGATGTGCATAGTGAGAATTCTCTGTGTTCATTAAAACTGTTGAGGTGTAATCAAGAGGCAGCTCAGCTGGTCTTGCAGAGCCAGGTGATAGTAGAAAAAAAGGATCCCCCCAGAGCTAGAGATCTCCCTGGCCACTTTCATTTCCCTAACGCTGGTGGACTCCAGGACAGGGGTACAGATGGAGGTTCATCTGCCATGTGTAAATATTTAGAAGTTTTCAATTAAGCTACTAAATTGTTAAAATCATCTGTCCTCTTAACCTAACAAATGTACCTTCATACCTACCTGGAAGATTAGGTTTAAATTTAGGATCCTCAGACTTTCAGGGTCCACACCAGAACATGGCTGTGCAAGAACAGCTGGCTTCCTGATTCTCAGCCTGCAGTCCAACTCCCTTCTCTTCCTATCCCTGAACCATGGGGCGTTGTCTGCATGTATGTGAACACCTCCAACCCCTTACTACATGTCCAAGTTCCATTCATACTCAACATCAACAGCCCCCCTCCACTGGCCACTCCTTGGGCCTCTGAGTGTGCATACTAGTGGCACAGTCTGTCCTTGGAAGACAGGATGTGAGGTAGAAGGCTGTATAGGTCAGGGTTGTAGGCTTGCAATCAAATTCCCTCAAATGAATAGGGAATTCTAGGGTATTGGGTACCTGGATCATTGCCTAGAAGGGAAGGCTTGGGTTCCAGGTGGGCAAGACCTTTTGGCCCCTTGAACTCTTTGCTATGGGGGATGGAAGATGTGTCTGAGAATGTGGCTTTAGGATGGCCAGAGATGGTTCTGTAAAACACGTGACCTTTACTTGCAGGGGTCTAAGGGCAGTGTTGTTAGTAGGCATAACCCCACAGTAGTTCTGCCTCTACTGTGTGTAATGTGTTGCTGTAGACGTAATAATTGTTTACTAAATATATTTCACTCCATAATGTGGATTTATTTCTTTTCAAGGAACTATTATTGTCTCTATAAAATTCTGAGTAGGAAGACTTCCTTTGGGTTGCAGGGAGGTTGGGTGGTTGGATGATGATGGTGGTTGGATGACCACGGAGCTTGGAGCATACAGCCCAGGTGGCAGCCCTCTTGGGAAGAGCTGCTCAGTCGTAGACTACTCCAGCTGGCAGGGGCAGCAGTCTGTCCCACTTCTCCTCTCCTATCCTCCAGACATGTGGGTTTTGAGGGTTAGTCCACAGCTAGAGAGACTGCTCAAGGTCTGTTTACCCCGGAAACTCCATGTGCTGAAAGAATGTAGAAGACTTGAAGTTTCAAATATTCTTTGTGTTGTTTAAGGGGTCTTGAAAAAAACTTCTTTGTCACAGATTCAGGCCAACTCAGTATTCTATGTAATAAAAAGAAAGCTCCTCACAACAGGGAATCCCTAAAGCATTTATTCTGACAGTGAAATAGACATTTTTGAAGTACTCAATGAATTTAATTAGCCAAATAGTAATTAGCTATGATTTAAATGGAAGATTATTTCAAGAACTGAACAGAATACCACTGTTTATCTTCAGCATAATCTGAGTAATTGACTGCTCTTGAACTTTGATGTAGATAAAGGAAGCTACCTACCATCTGTTTCCTTAGGAAGAATATTTTTGAAAAGAACTGTAAAGTATAAACCCTTCTGGAGCCCAGTACCCCTCCCATATCTGAAGAAGTCCATAGATTTCATATGTAAAATTTTTTTTTGAGATGGAGTCTTGCACCGTCGCTCAGGCTGGAGTGCAGGGGTGCAATCTCAGCTCACTGCAACCTCTTCCTTCCAGGTTCAAGCAATTCTCCTGCTTCAGCCTCCTGAGTAGCTGGGATTACAGACACCTGCCACCACGCCTGGCTAATTTTGTATTTTTAATAGAGACGGAGTTTCTCCATGTTGGTCAGGCTAATCTTGAACTCCCGACCTCAGGTGATCCGCCCCCCTCAGCCTCCCAAAGTGCTGGGATTACAGGCATGAGCCACCACGCCTGGCCTCATATATAAATATTAACACACACTTCTGAGCCCAAACATGACTCCAAGTTTTCTGTCATGGACAAAGATGGGGAGACAGCACTTTTCTTTGCATAGATTTCAATTTCCAAGTAGGAGGGATTTTTACTTTCAGGTATGCCAGGGAGGATTTTTATGAAAGTAAAACTGGCCTAATAAGTGAAGATGCTTAGGGCTGTCAGCATTCCTGAACTACACTCACCAGAGCTTCTTAAACACATAATTCTCTCTAAACACTTTGTGCAGACCAAGCTCATGCGGGCCTGGAAGGCAGTTTCCTGGCCTTTTCGTGGAACCATCTCCAAAGATTTCATAGTGATGCACATTGTGTTCTTTCTACTAAGGTGACTATTTTTAGAGTGTGAAAAACAAAGACCATGATTTGACATTCAATTAAGTTAATTTACTCATCATACATAGTTGGGGATGGTGTCAACCTTCACGACTCATCTATACGTGTGTTTCAGAGAAGCATTAGAATACATCTGTAGCTATATTTTTTCTTAATTTGCAGGGACTGTGTAATTTAATATATGCATTTTCCTCTTCACTAGCATTATCAGCCATAGCAAACATGGGATTTTCCAAAGCATGGAGAAGTTGTGCCTATAAACTAAAAGGCCTTTCAGACTTGTACAGGAGATTCACTGGCATGTCAAACCAACAAGTTCAACATTTCTGCCTCTGAATGTCTAAAGCCATACAAACCAGCTACCTGTCTGCTGTTTTCTCCACCTCTACTTCTGTCTTTGTCAAGCCCTGAAGCTTGACTCTGAAGCACAGAAAACCGAGAGCACAAACCAGTCTGTGGCCTGGGCTCCTTTCTGAGCCTTCCTGGTCCAATGTAGGGTGTACATCAATGGCAGCCTTGTCCCTGGTGCTGGGGTTGGCACAAAGTTGCTCCCAACCTTAAACTCCGTAGATACTGCTGCCATTGTAGGGCTCTTCACCATCTCTCCCTGATCCCTGCTTCTATTTCATGAGTTATGGTTTCCAAGGAGACATGTGCCCATATATTCAAGAGGTGTGCCCAGTGGGTCCAGGTACGACTGAGTCATATCCTAATTGGAACTGGCCTAGCCTTTGGGATTGCATTTTTTTCTAGGTTCTCACTTAGGGAGCAGTGGCCTTGCTTATATACACCTTGCCTCCCTTCTTATCCTACTTTTAATTCAAATGTATTTTTCTAGGGCTAGCTTTTCCCAGCTTTTTTTTTTTTTTTTTTTTTTTTTAATCCTGACCCTATATGTAAGAACAGTGGATCAAAATCCTGCTATGCATGGACAGGTTTCCTCCAAAGACCGCTGCCACATGTCTAACCTTGATCTTTCAAAGACTGCCGGGACTTCCAGTTGTTGTATCTAGTTCACCTGCTGGATATGCTAGCAGCAGACACTGGAAGTTAGGCCCCTGGGCACTCTGCATGGGCTGTCCAGATGCCCTCTCAGGGGCACTTTCTGTAACTGGGCCAGTCCTCTCCAGGCCCTCTTCAACCAGTGCTGGGGACTTAGCTTGGTGCCCCTCTCCCTGACCCTTCTAGCCACAGTTTGTTGGGGATCAATGATTATGACTTGTGCTTAATTAATGTCACAAATAGGCCCAATTTTAAAAGAATTTGTAAGTTACATTTTATAAATATATGAAGGAGATGGCAAGGGATTGATGAAGAGAGTGAAAGTTTGTGGGATAAATGGAGCGTGCCCATTACCTGGTGCAGGTTTTGCAGATGAGTTATATTTGGAAATAACTTTGAAGAACAAAGGAAGTAGTGTGATAAAAATATGTAAAGAGACGGTTTCAGGTAGGTTAGATAAGCTCCATGGAAAGCATTGGGTAAACACTTTCATAACAGGGGGTACCAGGGTAGAAGGAACTGCAGGAGGAGAGAGCAGCATACTGGGAACATCCTGATGGCAGCGACTGGCTTGTTCATTTTTGTATCCTGGGCCTAGCACAGTGTCCCAAACATGGTTGGCATTTGGTAAACCTACTGTCATTGAATGAATGTTAAATGAGGCTGCACATGTTTTTTGTTGTTGTTGTTGTTGTTTTTAATATTAAGTCATTTCCTGGTGGGAAACAACATATTAGATAGCAAGTAACTTTCTCCCTCAGCTCTCCCCTCTGACAAAGGGCAAGCTGGCTTACGCATTTCTAGAGATAAATGGGGACCTCCTTTCAGGGGACCTAGAAGGATTTGCGGTAACTCATTTGCATCCCAGAGGAAAACTCCAAACTGGGCCTATATAGCTGCTCACATGAGAACTTTCCAAAGTTCTTTCCTCCAGGAACCTGTTGTCTAACATTACTGACAAGAGATATGGAATCAGGTGAGAGATTGCCAAATCAGCCTCAGCTATGCCTTTTTGATCAATTTAATCAACACATTCCAAAGCAATGGTATCTGCATACTGAAGAAATAGTCTATAGCAGTATCAAGAAGTCACAGACATACATGGCTATAGCTAAGCAGGATACAGGATCAGTGCATTTTCTTTGAAGTGCTGGAGAAGTAACTCCAGAGCAGGGCCATGCAGACTGCTCACCAGGCTCTGCACAGCTGAGACTTTGTACCTTACTGTTGCATGTTTTTTCTGTGAAGGTATTAGCTTAATTAAGGCAGAGACCCAGTGTCAATGATAACCAAATAACTAACAGAACAGAAACATTGTTTCAAGGCTGTGTCACTGGACAACTGGGATTTTTGTGTATTGGAGGAGGCGGGAAACATTGAGGAGCCTTTTTAGAAACCTCTAAAAGGCCAATACAAGAAACAAAAGAAGTAAACAGGTTTCGGTTACTTTTTTTCTTATTTGGATAACAAAAAGAGCTTATATGGTTCAGAGACTCTCTCATTCCTGTGGTGTGAATAGGGAGGGGCATGTTGTATTAGAAACTGCAGTACTCGCCACCACCACTTCTATTACTACTAGTGTAACCATCAGGGTTTTCTGTGCCAGAGACTCCACAGTGCACTTTTCATTTACCTTTACTTATATTTTATTTAAGACAAGCTTACAAGTAGGATGCTATTTCTTCTCCTTTCTAGAGATGAGGAGACTGAGGACCAGTAAGATTAAATATTCCAGCAAGGTCTCTCATAGAGCAAAAATTCTCAACCTTGGCAGTAATGACACTTGGGATTAAATGGTTGTTGTTTTTGTGAGGTGAGGGGCTGTCCTGTGCATTGTAGGATGTTTAGAATCCCTGGCTTCTGTCTATGCTAGTAGAATACCCATCAAGTATGACAACCAAAAATATCTCAAGACATTGCCAAATGTCCTGGGTAGGGGCGCAAAATTGCTCCAGTTAAGAATCATTACTCATTGTAGAGTAAGTGGCTGACCTGGGCTTTAAGTTCCAATCTTTTTTCTTGGCTTAGCTAGAAACTAAAGTAACATGTGGATGGTGTAAATAGCAGCACCCATGTGAAGAGACTGCCTTGCATGGCAGCAGAATGACCCTGATCTACTTTAGTTGTCACAGTAGTTAATGTCATTTCAAAATAAGGGAATATGTAGTAATAAGAGCTAACATTTATTGAGTGCTTACTATGTTCCAAGAATTGTGCCAAGCACTTACTATACTCATGTGCTCATTTGATTATCTCCATACCTTGTGAAGAATGATAAGCCAGCAGCCTCAGTAGATAATAAATAGATTCAGAAAAGAAAATTTTGCCACTGCAGCAGCAGGAGGACATTCTGTAATGACTAATAGTTTTTCAAAGTTCAATTCTGGAGTCCTTGTGAGATATCAGATTTTAGTGACATTTGAGGTTCCAATTATCCCCAACTTGCTCTGTCAAAGGATTGTTTTGAGCGATTTTCATGGAGTATATCAATTAGTTAATATGATCACACATTCTTTTTAGTACCAAGTGCTCTCCTGGTGTGGAATTGCAGGTCACTCCCTGTTTGGGGAAATACATGGAGGCTTCTGGGAAAATGGGATTCATTCAGAGCTGGGTTCTCGCATTTCTCAGACTCTTTGTTCCTTAATACTGTCTCCCCTAAAACGCCAAGGGTTTTGAAAGTGATTTTTAAATCAAAGTCCCAGTCTCAGGAAAAAAATATCATGAACTCATTAGTTTGAGTTAAACCAATGGCTTCATAGTGAACATTTTAGGGGGAGAAATTAAAGAATAATGCCAGCAGAAGACAGCTTAGGCATCTGCACCACACTGCCAGTAAATGACAGGCTGGCCCAGAAGCTGATCTAATAACTTGATAATAAACTGATCCATATTATGGTTCACATAGAGAAGACTTCTGACTTACAGATCAAGCAATCATGATAAAAATCTTTATTGAGTGCACTCTTGGGTTTATGAGATACAATGATTTGAACAAGGGATGGGGAGAAAGAGCCTTGGGAGTGAGGCAGAGAGATGCTAATTCTAAAGCAGAAGATACCTGGACCGAGAAGGAGGACAAAGGTGACCAGAAAGAAGAATCAATGAAGAAAAGCTGACACTGCCTAGGGCTCAGAGTGGGGACTATATCACCCAGATCCATGTCAGGAGATCTCCTGAGGCTTCACTGTGCTCACAAGGGACTTGCCCTGCCTTTCATAAGACACAGTAGATTACTTGAGTGTACATAGAATAGGTTGTGCAAAAATGTATGGTGTGACTTAGCTGGGGGATGGTATTGAGGAAAGCTGAAGTATCAGTGAGGGAGGGCTTCTAGAGCATATGAGGACTTGTGTGGCATTTGAAGCTCAGGACCACCTGCTCTGTTCATCAGCAGCAGGGCCAGGTCCATGGGTATGTGACCTGTGCAGCTGCACAGGGCTCTGTGCTCAGAAGAGTCCTATACTTGGTTTAATTGCTCTGTTGCTATCTTGAAATCCTTAATTTTTGAACAAGGGTCCTACATTTTCATTTTGCATTGGGCTTTGCAAATTATATAACTGGTCCCGATTACTTACACACACACACCCACACACCCACCCACCCACAGAGAGAAAGAGAAAGCAAGAGAGGGAGAACACTATCTGGATATACCTTTGTGATGTGCCACATCTACATTATTCCAGGACCCCAGGGAGGATGGGGTTGTTTGAGAGGAAGCTCAGTAGTAATGCACAGAATTCTTAGAGGAAAGCAATGAAGTATCTTTTTAAAAAAATTCTAAGATACCATCAAATATGACTCTCATTGGCTTGGTGATGGCCTCTTTTTTTCATAGAAAAGTAAACACATTAATTGTCCATATAGAATATCTGACATATACTGATTTAGTAAACATTGCATTGTGCAACAAAAAGAAAAGTGTGTATTAGAATGGCAAAAATACAGTTCATGATGAGTTTTCATATACCCTCAGATTGAATTTCGGACAGCAAAAGGAAGCATTCACCTTGCCTGACTGGTCTGTTTTCAGTTCAGAGAATTTTTCTGTGCTGTTTAAATTCAACTAAACATTGATATACTTTGTAAAAGTGCAATGAAAGAGCTCTTTTACTTGTGATTAGTTGGAAGATAACTAATTGAAAACAACTAGATACACAGGCTCTGAGATTTAATTTTGACAGTGAACATTAGTGAGAAGAAGCCATTTGAATATTTCTTCTTGATGGGTTTGTTTATTCTGCTTATCTTATGTCAAACTTTACAATCTCAATGCCTTGAATGGTCTAATCCAGCCGAAAAGCAAACAGATACATTTATACAACCAAGATTTTGCCTGCAAGCAGAACATAAAGTCCCTTTTCAGGATACAAATGTTCCCTACAACAGATCATTTTCTTAAAGAGTTTTGGTTGACATCATCCCTCAAGGTAGATTCTTCTTTAGCTGTCCAGAAATCGTGGCCTGGAAAATCTCATTTCATTAGAGAGCCCCTTACCAAGAAGCTTGTTGCTTACAATAGACACTGACTCACGCAGCTCCCTGACGACAGGCTCAGGCCCTGTCTTTCTCACATATGCCTCCTACCAGCTCTGACTTGAAAAACGATTCATCACATAGCTTCCTCCTAGGGCTTGTGGGCAGAACACAGGGGGTTGTCTCTGGAAAGGGCCTTGGCGTTTGCTCTTTATCCCGAATCACCAACCAAAGCATAACCTAGGTTTCGTGTTCAGTGTCATGGAATGGTCTAATATTTATCCATCTAGGAAAGTTTTGCTAAATATTAATACCTTCTAAGTACAGGGAGCAGAGTAAGTTGAGGGGTTGGAGAGAACTTGAAGACAAATGAAAAGAGTCTGTGACCTGGAGTGAGGTGGGAGGGCTCTTAATCTAGCAGAACAGAAAAGATCTGTGCATAAAATCTGTACCAGTGAAGGCAGTTGTCTAGATCCCACTTCCTGTAAACTGCTAATTTTAAGTTTTCACACAGAATCCTATCACATCACATCCGTTATCCATCTTAAAGACCTTCCTATTGGATAGACACTGGGTCTAATGATGTTTATATAGTGACGTGAATAGTAGACTGCCTCATAAATACTTCATAAGTGATGACGACAGTCATGATCCATTTCCTGTTTGGTTGCTGTCGAAATGAGCTGGGCTTTCTTTGGGTCTACCTAAAAGGAAACTTACGACTTGACAACAACTCCTCCTTTTCCTCAGATGACTTTTCAGCACCTTCATGTGCCTGGCCCTCTCCTTTGCTTTACGTACATTGTTCTTGACCTTTACAACACCACCACAAGTTACTTATTAATATCCTTTTCCAGAAAAAGAAATGGAATGTCAGAAAGTTGAGTAACTTGACCCGGGGGTGGAGCTGGAGTTCGGGCATGGCTTGCTCCTAAACACCCCATGCAGCCCTTCCTTAAATGAAAATTCTGGTCTCTTGTAGAACCTACTCTGGGAGCACTAGGGGAAAAGGGCCTGAGGGGAAAAAGACTGCATTGCTTCAAATGGAAATTGCAGATGTGAGGTAGAACTGTCTCATAATTTTTTTTTTCCTTTTAGATAAGCATTAGCATTCTGGAATAGCCAGAGCACTTATTTGCTTGTGAAAAAAGTACCATAACACTTTTATTTGAAAAGTCTAATGGCATGAAGTGAGGAAAAGGAAGAAAGTTCTATACTGCAGAAAGAGGAAAGAGTCGAAGGGAAAGCACTTCTAGAAAATTCATGTAATGTCTGAACAGTTATTAATAGTCTGAACTATTAATAGTTGTTCAGCTCTTTCCAGCTGATGGGAACCTGGACTCAACATCCTTAGAATATCTTCAGAGAGGCCCAGTGTGCCAGGTCCCAGCAGAGCGTGTGATCTTGACTCTATTGTTAAGAACTTGCAAAAGCCCAGGTGAAGATGATGAGACACGCCATCCACCTGGTCCTCCAGGTTTCCTTTTTCTATTTTTTAAGATTTTTAATTTTTGTGGGTACACAGTAGGTATACACCTCCAGGTTTCTTGAATGCCTACTGTGTATTATACATGTGGGACTCAAGTCCTTCATGGGACTCACTCTTTTTTTTTTTTTTTTTTTTGAGACGGAGTCTCGCTCTGTCGCCCAGACTGGAGTGCAGTTGCGTGCTCTCGGCTCACTGCAAGCTCCACCTCCCGGGTTCACGCCGTTCTCCTGCCTCAGCCTCCCGAGTAGCTGGGACTACAGGCGCCTGCCACCACGCCCGGCTAATTTTTTTTCTTTTGGTATTTTTAGTAGAGACGGGGTTTCACCGTGTTAGCCAGGATGGTCTCAATCTCCTGACCTCATGATCCACCTGCCTCAGCCTCCCAAAGTGCTGGGATTACAGGCGTGAGCCACTGTACCTGGCCGGGACTCACTCTTTAACCTAATTTGCAGTCACACAGGGTGAGGCCCTTGGCTGTTGCTAAGTGTTCTAATGAAACTTCTCTTTCACTGGCTTGGACCTAGGGTCCCCCAAAGTGGGCCTTTCTCCAACTTTTTCCTTAAAGCAATATTTTCAAAACTGAAATAAAACAGCATTAAAAAAATAGAATGGGTATGATAATGTCAGAATGCAGCATCCGTGGTGAGACTAAGAACTGTTTGGTGGAACTCTTGTTTAGTTCTATGTGTACTTGTGTACTGGGATGTGATGTAGAATATATTTCTCATTATAGATTATGGGCTGAAAAGGTGGACAAATAATTGAGAGAGCTCTCTGTCCTCTACTTCCTGACTTCTTTTTTGTCAGGCCCCATAAAAGACATTTCCCTGTGGGGATCGTGCTGGCTTTGTGCCTACTTCTTGGACTCAGTGTTCCAAACACTCTTTCCTTCCAGAGGTCAACGATTTAGGACTAGGACTATGGCTCCTGTGCACCCCATGCCCACTACCTGTGTCAGCCTCCCTCATCCTGTCACCCACCATGCACACCAGGCTGTGGCCTGAGTCTCCGGCCTGGCCAGATCATTGGATGCCCTGATCATCACTCAGGAATGACTCAAGAACCCACAACACGTACAGGTTCCTTTTGCATTTGTAGCAAAACTATTGCTAACCTAATAGTTATTTCTTTTCCATGTCACCCACTGGTTGCAAAGTGATGCTTTAAAGAAAAGCAAAGGCTTTCCTGAGGGGTGGAACTGGGCGTTATTCAAATTCTTGGGTACAAAGGCTGGTCATCTCAGGATTCCCCCAAAAGGCTCCTCACTCTGGTTTCTTTGCCCTGTCATCTCATGTGTCCTTTGATTTTAAATGATTCTTGTCTGCTTTGGGCATCTTGGTGTATAGCTCTAGCATCCGATCTAAGCTACAAGTTCTCACTCCCCCTCTACTATCCCAAGCTTCAACAATGAGAACAAACATATACTGAGGGCTTACTGTGGAACAGATGCTGTGTTAACACACACATCATTGCCATTATTTCATGCACTCTCACAGGCAGATCATGAGGTGGGTAACATTTTACCTCCATTTACAGGCCAGAAAACTGAAGCCATGCTAAGCACCTGGTCCAAGGACAGCTGGGATTTGAACCTAACTGGCTGGCTTAAATGCCTGAAACCTTGACCGATGTAGACATCGGGCAGGTTTGGTAGACATAGGTATCAAAGTTCTACCCTCTCACCCAGTCTCACCATTGCTCTCTGGCCAAGATGGGAAAGTACATTAGCTTCATGATGATACATTTCTTTAATGATTGAGAGTCAGGAAAAGGAGTTATGCTCTTAAGTTTTCATATGTTTTTATCTATTACCTATGAATTATGTAATTATGGTATTTCTCTATTTTGCCTTTGCTTCCAGAAGACTTAATTAAATTTAAACATAATGTTTATAGTAAGTGTGTTAATTCCATGGTTAGCATAATTTCTTTATCCTTTTCACTGTTTCAATCTTTCAATTCTATTTATGTGAACCTATGTACATATATAAATATAACTATAAACCACCTCAGATTTGTAACAAGGAAGGAAATAAACAAGCATTCTATTTATTCAGAAAGACATCTGATTTTCTTGAGCAGATGAGAATTTGAATAACTTAGAAGTCTTGATAGCACCGTTATAGAAAATTTTGTATAGCAGGGTCTTCTATTCCTACTTTGTCTTGGAAAAAGTGAATGTACAGTATTACCCTTTATTATTTGCCTGAGCAAAGCGTCAGTGTTGGCAGGGCTGTCACGTATAGCTGTGCAGATTATGTGCTGCACAACTTCAAGGTGCTATTCACTTTGCAATCTATGGAGTTGCTCAGTGTGCAACCTGTACAACTATATGCAGGAGCTCTAAGGGTTTAATTGGGCTCATACCACTCTGCTTTTCATTAACTACTGACTGGGATTGGAGTTCATTATTTGGAGGGGAGGTGGCTGTAAAGCAGGAAGGTGTTCCATTGCTCCTTTTCCCAGGTAAACGTATTCCTCTCTGCTCTGGATTAAAGTCCCAGGAAATGTAGGCGATAACGAGAGCTTTTCCCTCTGCAGAGTAGCATGGAGACTGGAAGGCAGGAGGAGGAAGGCAAGAAGCCCAAGGAGACGCCTAACCTGAGCAGGCAATCAATCATCTGAAAACCTCTCCTGCATTTCTTCTGACTTTATTTTGAGGACTAATGGGAAATGCCTGCCCCTTCAGAGTCTGTTTTCTCACTAGAAAGGAAAGAAGTTTCCAGCTAAGCCTGGGGATGCTGAAAAGAAATGAGACAACTTTTCACACTATTGGCATCCTCCACTGCTTATTCCTCCAGGACCTCACTTTGGGGTGCTTGCATGTGTGGGCTGTCAGTGGCAAGGGAAGTCCTGTGCCTACTGGGCTCCCCTATCTGGAGACCACTGGTCAGGGGATGGAGGGGATTTGATAAAGTGTGTTGACTGTATGGCCTTAAACACACACACACACACACACACACACAACCCCAAAAACAAAAAACCACCACAACAAAAAACAAACATATATAGAGTGTGTTTGACCCGTGTGAAATGGGAACAGGGGCTCGTCTGAGTGCTGCTATTAGAAAAGGGTGTGGGGGCCCATGCTCTGGGAGAGAAGAGACCAAGTTCTGCTTGATTCCATAGCACTGGCCTCAACAATCTTGCTGGGTTCATAATTGCTGAGAAAAGGTTTGTTGTTACTAGAAACGAAATGAAGGTAAAATGACCCCACTGAAAAATCATTTTAAAATTGGCTCCAGTTTTGGGAAACAGTGGGTCTGAGTGCTATTTTGGCACACACTATATCCCAATCGCGTTACAGATTATGAAACTTTAGTCTGAACCAGTAGTTCTAAACCTGGTCCTAAATTGAAATTATCTAGTGAACTTTCAGAAAATACCAATGCTAGAGCCCATCTCTCAGATTTAACTGGCTTGGGTGGAGCTCAGATGTCTGTATTCAAAGTCCCCCCGGTGATTGTAATGTGCAGGAGAAATCTTTCAGCTCGGTCTACACTCCTGGTTTTCAGGCCTTTGGAACCAAAGCATTAGAATCACTCAGAGGGCTTGTATAAAGCACAGATTGCTGGGCCTTCCTCCAGAGTTTTTCATTCAGTAGATCTGCATGGGGCAGAGAATCTGCATTTCTCAAAAGTTCTCAGATGGTGCTGGCACTCCTGGTTCTGGGTCACATTTTGAGAGCCACTTGTACACAGAGTGACTGACCATCAAGATAGGTGTTCTCTCCAGCCTCAGTTCTTGCCTCCTGCCTTTTTCATACTCTGTTCAGTCCAACCAGAATGTCTTATATGCCTCTTATAAATACATGGTGCTCTCTCTACCCTATAGGCCTCTGAACACACCTTCCTTTTGCCTGCAACACTTTCCGATGTGGCAACACATGTTTCATTAAGACCCCATAATTTTTACTAATTGGCATTAGAGTTCTTGCAGTAACATAAATTAGGAAAACTCTATTGAACTTATAATGTTAATATGTACACTTTTACAACATTTTTTTATTAAATAAGCTTTTATTTCCTAAATTGAAGTAAATAAAAAAAAAACTATGGCTGTTCATTTTTAAAAAACACTTGAGATGTTTTAATACATTTTAAAATAGCCACTCTATGCTTTTAAAAAAATCCGTAATCTTAAAGCAATGAATAAGGGACTATAACTACTATATTATTAATAATAGAATCACAGATGTGACATTGAGTGAGTATATATCAGTGTAAATATAAACTAGATTCTAGGTCTCTCCACCCTCTGCCCACACCAGGCAGAGACTCATTTCTCTCACAGTGACTTTGCCTCTGGGGAAAGGGCACTGTGCCAAGTGGGGAGAGATGAATGAAATGTCCTTTCCTCCTACAATTTTCTGTGCAAGTTTTCCTCGTCAGTTAATGCCTTATGACCCTTCTTGGCTTCCATTGCTTCCATTAAATCCTGTCAAAAGGACCAAATAAAAAGAGAGAAACAAACCTCAAATGAAGGAATATGAGATAGTGTTCAATTTAAACTTTGTTTTTATTTTTCACACCGAGTTAGCGATTTTAAAAGTAAGATTCTTATAAGGTCTGTCAAAATTGAGGCCCAAAGTAATTATTTTATACCTTATATCCTACTATATTGTGTTGAAATGAACAATTTTGATGTGCTTTTTGTGAGCGAGGAACTGCTGGATAAATGCAATTAATGTATATCATATATACCCCTCCTGTTACAATACAATTAGCTTTAATTTTTCTGTCCCGGGGCTTGTCCATCTAGGAAAAACAATTTGAAATAAATAATATTTGAAAGACTTTGTCCAAACAGTGTAACTAGCTTCTGCATATATCAGTTATTAATGTGTCATTTTTCTAAGTGATATGTGTATGTATGTATCATACACACAAAAACATATATTACCTCATTTAATCTTCACAAAACACTGAGTTAGGTACTGTTAATATCCCCATTTTATACATGAGGAAATTGAAGGTCTGCTTTCTGGAGCAGACACTAAATTGGAACTTGAGGACTGTTGAGGAGCTAGACATACAATGGATCCTAGAGACCCCATCCAGGTGCAGGATGTGTTTCCTCAACCATGTGAATAAACAGATTCTTCTCACTGAGCCACTCTGTCAGTCATCTGTCTTCTGCTTCTTGTGGGAGCTCACCTCAGAACTTCACCCGGAACCCTCCTCACCTGTCCTACCAACAGGCACACTTAGGTACACACTCCAAGGGTTACTCAGGCTTTTCAAAGTCCTGCCTCAGACCTGAGTTAAATTAAGTGAATGGCCTCAAGGACATTCATTTACACTCACACCAGGAAAGACCATCTCTATGGATTAGGTCCTGAGCTATACATGTTCCTGGAGACCTAGAATTCTTGGAGGTTAGATAAGGTCTTTCTGACAAAGAATATCAGAGTGACAAAACCCACTTCCTATTCCAACCTTCCAAGAGATCTGAGGAAAATGTCATCTGAAAGTGATTATGATCTTTCTACCCAAGACACACATCCCCCAGAACGTAGCTCCAATGCTGTTGATGGCAGAAAGGATACCCACTGTTGCTACATCTAGATTAAAGCAACACAATTCAATGAAAAGTGAACATTCTATTGTCTAGGTCATTCCATCTTTTTTAAAAAATTAAATTGACCATTTGATTAAACAGACTAAGATACCCAAAGAGGCAGTTTAGAATAACTTAACACAGACTCTAAAGTGGAGCTGAACTCATATCTTGGCTCTGCCTCTTATAAGCTGCATGATCTTGGGTGTGTTGCAGAGGAATACATAACAATTGTTAATGGGTTTGGCCTAGAGGATAGGAAACTAGGAATTTTGATTATATACCCCTTTGAGTGGTTTGATTCTTTTAAAATGTGCATATATTCTTGTTCTTTCCCCCCAAGAAAGTTTTAAAAGCATACACACAGAAGACAGCCAATTAAGCAAAAGTAGCTTAGTTGATTCTGATATGACTGGGTGTAGTTGATTTGTAGTTGATTCTTAGTTGATTCTGATGTGGCTGGGTGTAGAACCCAATAGGGCTGCCTCAAGTGGCATTTGGAGTGGTTCATAGGAATTAAATTGTCTCCATGTTGTTAGAAATGCTCATTCCTCAGTGCTGCACAGAAATAGTACTCAAACGTAAATTTAATTTTCTCAGCAAGGCAATTTTACTTCTATAGAAGGGTGTAGCTTGCAGATGGAGCAATAGCAAGAGCCCACCTGAACAAGGGAGGGGAAGGGGTTCTTATTGCAGAAACAGGTAGCCCCTACTGCTGTGTCATTCCCCTATTGTCTAGGGTTGGACTGCATAGTCTAAGCTAATTCTGATTGGCTATTTTAAAGAGTGCCGGGGGTATGAGCCAGAGTGGCAGCGTGAGCAGTTTGGCAGGGAAGACTGTTATGGAACAGGTAACTAAAGGTGACTTAGGTCAGAGCAGGTGACCAGGGGTGACTCAGGTCAAAGAAGGTGACCATGATGAGTCAGGATGGAGCAGGTGACCAGGGGAACAGATGTGAACTGCTTAAAACTGGTGGAAAAGATTGTTTACTGAAACTACGAGGAAGTTAAACTTTAAAATGGAGGACAAAGAACTGAATATACTGACATACTGATTCTTCGAAGAGAAATCTAGAACCCACTGTATCCAACAATGTCTAGATGCCAAAGTCCTGGAGGGCAAGGACGACTGAGCACTGACTTTGGGAAGTAAATTAATTTTCCCCAGCCTCCTTTTCCTCCCTTGGAAAAGGAAGGGCTTGCACCAGGATTCAGGGATTATTAACTCAAAGTCTTTGGACAAGGCTACAAGAGGGTGCCCTGGGAAACACTAGATGTGAAACCTTAACCCCACTCTCCCCATACATACCTAAGATAAACATTTAAATTAAACTAAGCAAAACACTACGTGTTTGGGGCACATTTCACTTGCAGGCCACCATGAATTAGACACTCTTTAATTTATTTCTAGGCTAACCCTACTGATTGTGTGTCATATGTTGCACGATATTAGTGGATAAAATGTATGTATTTGTAGTATACATTGTGAGGGTAAGATAGCTTCCTAGCACAAGGATTGGCACATGGTAGGGGCTCAAATAAAAATCTGCAAGTATTATTTGATTTGGGAATGGTCTATACATAGCTATGATTGGGCAGGAAAAAAGTCATTTATGTCAGTTCTTAGTATATGGAGAGATACATGGAAAATGCCTCTAAAACATTATAAATGATTATATAAGTTACATGGTGTAAATAAACAAAATAGGAAATTCAGCTTTCATGTAGCTTAATCTTCACAGAAAGGAGTTGCTTTCTGACTCCTAAAAGTCTGGAATCTTAGATAGCTTTGTGATGAATAATTATTGCCCCCTTTTTGCATACCCAGAGCCTGCTACTCCCTTCTTATCATAGCTCAGCATATGATAATCAAGTTCCAGGTTTCCTTGTTTCTCTCACCCACTGGGCTGAGACCTCAGTGAAGTGAAGGGTTCTGGTTTTTTATTTCATATCCACAGTACCTTGCATAGTGCCTGGCATTCGTATACACTCAGTATATAAACAGATGGACAGGTGGGTGGATGGGTGGATGGATGGATAGATAGATGGATGGACTGTCCTTTTCCCAGCTGCAGACTGCTGCCTGATTCTGTGGGCTGATTTCTTTCCTTTTCCCTTTGTTCTAATCCCTTTGGGCCAACTTCTAAAAGACAACCTGCAACAGATAATTTACGGATTGACTCAAGTACCTATTGATTTATCTTCTCTGCTGAACCTCTGAAAGAGAACTTCAAATTCATAGACTTCCTGAGATTTCATCTTGCCCTAATCACTTAAATCCTCATTCTTTATTAATTCGAGCCTTGAGCACACTCATCGTAGTTTTTTAAAAAAACATTCTTTGCTGCACTGTTCAAATATATTCATTGTATGTGTGCATATGTTTTATGTATATGTGTATGCATGTGTATAAAATATACCCACACACATTAGATCTGTATGTGTATATATGTATATATATATACACACACAGATCTACATTATGTCCATCTGATAGAAAATCTTACTCATGAATATTAACCCATGACAATCTATGCACAGCTAAAATAAACTCCGCTTTCATTTGGAACACTATAGCTATGCTTTTAAAAGTAGTTTCAGGGGAAAAGACAATGAGGAAAAGGTACTAAAGCAAAAGGTAGCTCTATTGGCTTTTATTTGTGGCCTACTCACAGACATCATCTATACTCGAAGCTTCCTTTCAGGCCATTTCATATCCGACTCCCATCATCATTTGCGTGGTAGAGATAAGGAGAGAGGGCACTAAATCAACTGCCCCCAGCACTCTTTCCTGCTTTCCTTTCTTCTCAGTGGCCATTCCTTCAGGATTTGGAGATTTGAGTTCAAAAATACTCTAATTCACTGGGCATCAAACATTCAGTCTTAACTCTCCTCAGCAGCTGCCAGAGTCAGAAGGAACTAAATATGGTGTCAAAAGATTTCAATATAATCCCCTCAGAATGACTCGATGGTGTCCTATGTTGCTTGAACTTCTATTAACCCTCCAAATGCAAGGAGATCGCCAGAATACACGATAGATCTGCCTGTCTTTCCAGAAGCCCCCTCCCCTATTTTTCACGCTTTAACCTTTTGCAAGAAGGGGAAAAAAATCGGTGTCTTATTTGAATTATTCATGCCACTTTCTGTTCTGCCAATTCCAGGACACATTTGAAATCATTAATATGTCATGACTTTCCTTCATCTAGCTTTCTCAGGTTTTTTTTAAACTGAGAATCACCACAAAAAGGCATGATTCATTAACAAGGATATTATATTTACATTTTTAGTTCACTATTGTCAGTCTTCTTAGCACAATTGAAGAAGTGCTAAATGTTTGATGAGGTGGCACTGAAGATTGTACACCTTCAGGGAGCTGTCGTAAGCAATCCTGCCAGACTCACAGTGGCACTTGGAAATGAAGCTGCATGGTCTGATGGTTCTTGTAGCAGTGCCATGCAGGTAAATATCTCATCCACTCCTGACATTCTCATAAACATAAAAAAAGGCACACCATTTAGAGATGCTGAGGGCTCATTCTTATCCCAGTGATTCTCACACATTCACAAGCAGTCTTCCTTCTCTAGTGAGCCTTGTACCTGGCCACCTTGTGCTGGCACAACAGAGAGCACAGCAGACATGGTCTCTGTCCTCATGGAGATTTCATGATCAGTCGGATCACCACAGCATGAAGGGTCCTGAAACCAAGCCCAAGGACATGCCAACTAGGAACAACAACAAAGAGGTAGCTAAGGGCTTCTCTGAAGCTTTTCAAAAATACTACAGATGAATGTGAGTCTGATCAACAAAATTCAGATTCAAATCCAGCCAATATTTTCAAGTATGTACTATGTGCCCGGTCCCAAACAGCATTGACAAATATAATCTCATTTAATCCACAACACAACAAATGCACCTACTAATATTCATTAAGTGAGAGAGGCATATGTCTAGGGGAATAAACTCTTGAGCTGACAGGTACACATGTTGGTATATTTTGGGAAAACAGAGTAAACGTTTGTTGGATTAGATGTGGGGCATAAGAGTTGAGAATGACTCCGAGGTTTTTGGCTCCTATAACTAAAATGGAATTATTTAGTGAGATGTAGGAGACTGGAAGAACAGGATTGTAGGGGGAAATATTAGAGATTCAGTTTTGGGCTTGCCTGATATGGCAGGTAGACATTCAGGTGGAGGTGTTGAATAGAGAGTTGGATATATAAATCTGGTATTTGGGTGGCATGTCCAGGCTAAAGATACCTATTTAAAAGTGGTCAGGATGTGAATGGGTTTTGGATGGGCTTAAGGCTGTGAGACTTGATTAGATTGCCCAATGGAGTGAGTATAAACAGATGAGAACTAAGGCTCAATGTCTGAACCAGGGACAGTCCAACCTACAGGATTGTAGAGATGAGAAGGATCCAGCAGGGGCATTGGGAATGGGGTATCTTGGACACAAGTAAAAGTAGGACAACAGTCCTTTAATTTTTCTCAGGTTCTCGAACTTTAATATGCATAAGAATACCTGAACAGTATGTAAAAAACTGGGTGTATTGTATCTGACTTGCAAATTCAGGGGTTTCCAACCATTATTTTAAATATCTGCCACTGTTCCCTTTCTCACTGACCTAAGAATCTAACTACTGCTCCCCAGCCTCAGATTTGGAAGTGACTCCATGATACTGTCACCTGGATATCATAAACATTGAATGGGGACTGGTGAAAAAGCCAGATATCATGTTTTGTCTTTGAATTGGGAAGAACATCAGTTCTTCTGATGTGTGTTCTGATCAGTGTTCAGAATGAATTTTATGAAATGAATTCACACGTCTCATCACAATGTCAGGGCTCCTGTTCACCCATTCTTCCTCTCCATATGCACAGGCAATTTTCTGCTCTTTCTAGTACCTAACAGAGGGAGAAGCTGGGCTAGGCACCACTCCTGGAACATTTGCCGGACATCAATGGCATTAGCCCACAGGCTGCTGCATCTGCCAAGGCAGTGCTGGAAGCAAAAACGCCTTTGGTGGGACCCTGGAAGCTTCATAGCTATAAGTCAGGGTGTGCTTCATGTGGACAATGACATCCTACTTCCAAGCATCCTGTGTTCCAGCTTCTGTCTCCTGGAGAACAAACCCATCACCATAGCAACTGCGTCCACAGAATGCACCTCCAAGGACCCCTCAAATCCTATCAGTTGCTTCTCCGCCATTGATGGCACTTATTAATTTAAAATTGGATCTAACAATTAGTTTATCTTCAGGAGGCTAACATCTCTTTTAATCCCCACTGTTAAACTTACGCCTGGAAGGTTCAGGGCCCTCATCGCTGTTCCCTCAAGAGTTAAATGACATTTAGGCAGCAGGAAACTTATGCCAATAAGATCAAAATCTAAACCGGTTGCCTTTTATTATCACTTAAATTATTCTCTCCACTTGACATGGATTTATTGGTCAGTTTAGACTGTGTGACAGATTTGGTTGTAGTCACATGGAGTGTGACTAACAGCCTTCACTACAAGCCTGTAAACGGAGTGTGATGCACGTGTACATTATCACCATCTAATACTATCTGTGGGCTAATTATATAAAGGCTAAAGTAAATGAACACAACAGTGACTGCACAAGTCCAGAGAGAGCCATAAATGTGCTTTGGCAGCTGACTTGGACTTTTCAGGTGGAGCTGGGGTAATTGAAGAGGTCACTGATCTGTGTCTCACATCATTTGTTAGCACCATCTCTGTTGGAAGATGGTCACTTACATTAATTCTTGATGATTTCATCTCTCCTGGAAGCTTATTTTAAACAAAATAATATAATGCTTCTGGCTATTTTAGTACATGTAGACTTAGAGTAGCACATGTGGTAGTACAGGGGAAACCATTATGCTTCTAGCCATTTATTTGGTGTGTGCATTCGAGATTGGCAGTATGCATGAGGAGGGACCCCTGCTCATTGCACACTCTGAACACAGGTATGTGACCTCAAATGCCCCTGGATGTCACTTGAGGGAGGTAGGTGAACAGGTGGACATACACTATTACAACAGAAGAGGATGGGTGGAGGGGAGTCAGAAGACCTGGCTTGGAATCCTTCCCTTGTCACTCTGAAGCAGTGTGTCTGGGCAGTTTACAAACTTCTCTGAGCCTGTTTTTTCACCTGTAAAATGGAGAAAGTACCTTATATATAAAACCTGAATGAGCTGCTGAAACTAGTGGCAACTCTGGAACCAACATTTACAGAACTATGTTCGGGGGCTTTCTAAGCACTTTATTCCTATGACTTAATTTTTTCTCATGGAAACCATATAAGGTGGGTACCACGTAATTCAGATGAGAAAACCGAGGCACAGAGTAGATGAATAACTTGCCCAAAGCCACACACCAAAAATGATTTGTAATCTACAGAACACCATGCCGTTGTATAGGATGTCTAACATTACTAACATTATTATCAATAGATTAGTCAGTTGCCACCTGGCAACTGACTAACAGGAGAAGCCAAGTGGGCTCGCCTTTCTTCGAGAACTCTCTAAGGTACAAGAGGAGGTTGTGGGGGCAGCAAGAAGAACATGGGCTTAGGAGTCAGGAACACCAAAGGGTGTAACACCAGTTCTGCACTAAGTAACTGTGAGATTCTGGAAATGTCAACCTTTATTGAACTTGGATTCCCTATCTGTAAGAGAGAGAGAATGATTCCTACTCATAGGATGTTTGGGGATTACTGAGTTCATGTATATGAAGTACCCAGAGCACCTGACAGATCGTAGGTACTCATTTAATGTAAATTCCATCCCCTTCCAATTTGCTTACCATAGAAGATTCTTCTTACCAGATCTGTCCTCAGGTCTCTGAAGTCTATGCCACACAATGAAACATCTGTTCTTCCCTGAACAGCCAGGCCATCCACAGCTTTTTGCCTTGGGACTGCTGTTCTCTTTGCTGGAAATACTGTTACCCCATCTTTCCTTCTGGAAAACTCTCATTCATCCTTGAAGAACTAGTCCATTAACTGTCAAAGCACCCACTCTAATGCTTTGCAGTTTCTTTACTTTTATTTTTTTTCTTCTGAGACGGAGTCTCACTCTGCCACCCAGGCTGGAGTGCAGTGGCACAATCCCAGCTCACTGCAACCTCCGCCTCCTGGGTTCAAGGGATTCTCCTGCCTCAGCCTCCTGAGTAGCTGGGATTACAGGCACCTTCCACTATGCCTAGCTAATTTTTTGTATATTTAGTAGAGATGTGGTTTCACCATGATGGCTAGGCTTGTCTCAAACACCTGACCTCATGATTCTCCCGCTTCAGCCTCCCAAAGTGCTGGGATTACAGGTGTGAGCCACCACGCTCGGCCTGCTGTTTCTTTCTCATTGGTTCTATGTCCCCTTCTCTCTTGGTAACATTCCTATCTCCAGCTTCTGATTCATCACCCAGCACTGAGAAGGACCAGGGACTTAAGTGTTGTCCTACCCGAGAGAGCTAAGCATTCCAGCCAGCCTCATAGTGCCTGGCCCCTTGTTAGTTCTTAATAAGTGGTAGCTATCATCATCATCATCATCACCATCATCATCATCATCATCACTACTACTACTGCTACCATTGTCGCATGCTTCAGAATCTTCTGCCCCAAAATGTCTTTCCACCTACTTGTTGACATCTGAAAATTGTTCACAGGCTTTCATTTCATACTTACAGATGCAAATGCAAGTTAATTAACACCAAAGTCTTATCAACTATACAACAGTAGTAACTGGTAGCATATTAAACACTTGCTATATGCCAGATATTTTATATTCAATTTTCATAAAACCTATGAAGTAAGTTTAGAGAATTCAAGTGACTTAGTTAAGGTCATACAACAAATAAATGGTAGAGCTGGGAGTTGAACCCAGAACTCATCTTCTTAATGACTATACTGTACTGTGCTCAATAGGGACAGTAAGTGACTGGCAGCACAGCCTTCCTGCTTTATGAAGGGAGGCAGTTCGTGGGCAGCAGACACTAAGGTGACATGAAGGGCCTCAGGGTAGCCAGTCCTATCACTTCTGGTCAGCACTGCTTACTGTCAACCAGCTGGTGACAAATCAGTATGTCACTTTGAATGTGTACAGATTGTCTTCGCATGGTTTGTGAGGATTTTTTTTTTTTTTTTTTTTTTTACTTAAAGTCATAGATCATGTTGTAAAGTAGCTTCATTTTTCAAGGAGGTAGTAATTGAAATTGAAGTGTCCCGTAGCTCCATCCATGCTGACCCCAATTCCCCATGGGCCCCTACTGACTCCCTGCTGTCCTGCCACCTCTGTGGAGCTCACATACACTCAACACCCTCCTTCCACCTGCTTTCATCACCTTCTTCACACAGACTCATATCCTCAAATTATAGGCACCAGACATATGCAGGCCAACACACTCAGGGAGTAAGGAGGTGGAGAGATGACTGATAATATATATAAGTGGGGGGTTTGTAGATAGTGAATTGTAGACCAGAAAAATGTTAGACTTGAAAAAGACTTTATAGATAATCTAGGCCAGCCACATAATTTTATAGGTGCAGAAACTGAAGTCCAAGGTGACTCAGCAAATTAAATGGGTCTGCAGAGTCAAACGGTAAATAAAAAGTGAGTGCCAAATCTGATAGAGAGTTGGGAAAAATGAACTAGTGATGAATAGGAGAGAGAATGAGTGAGGTTGCAAGGGGGAAAGAGCATGGTGCCAGAGTAAAAAGTGGTTCATTTTTTATTAATGTTAAAATTCTACAACTCAGAAGAGTATCTTGGAGGAAGATACTCTTGGAGGAAGCTGGACTAGGGAGTTTCTCTGACATCTTTATGCGATTTGCATGTGAATATCTTCCTAATTATTTGTAAGTAAGCAATTAAAAGAAAAAAATCTGTATTTAAAAAGATAAAAAGCAGGACATCAAGTATTAAAGGCAATTTACCCCAGAATGTATGATAGTATATTTTAGATAGCAAAATCTGAGACTAGACTCTTAAACTGATCATTTTTAGGGGGTACATGAGATAATTTAATACAGTCATATAATTTGTAAAGATGAGATGGGTGTAATTGGGATATCCATCACCTTAAATATTTGTATTTATGCTAGAAACCTTCAATTTATTCTCTTCTACCTCTTTTGAAATATACAGTAGATGAATGTAAACTAGATTCACCTACTGATCTATCAAATCTTTTTTTTTTTTTTTTTTACTTTAAGTTCCGGGATACATGTGCAGAATGTGCAGGTTTGTTACATAGGTATACATGTGCCATGGTGGTTTGCCGCACCTATCAACCTGTCATCTAGGTTTTAAGCCCTTCATGCATTAGGTATTTGTCCTAATGCTCTCCCTTCCCTTACCCCCCACCCCCCAACAGGCCCCTGTATGTGATGTTCCCCTCCCTGGGTCCATGTGTTCTCATTGTTCAACTCCCACTTATAAGTGAGAACATGAGGTATTTGGTTTTCTGTTCCTGTGTTAGTATGCTGAGAATGATGGCTTCCAGCTTCATCCATGTCTCTGCAAAGGACATGAACTCATTATTTTTATGGCTGTATAGTATTCCATGGTATATATGTGCCACATTTTCTTTATTTAGTATATCATTGATAAGCATTTGGGTTGGTTCCAAGTCTTTGCTATTGTAAATAGTGCTGCAATAAACATAGGTGTATATGGGTCTTTATAGTAGAATGATTTATAATCCTTTGTGTATATTCCCAGTAATGGGATTCCTGGGTCAAATGGTATTTCTGGTTCTAGATCCTTGAGGAATCACCACACTGTCTTCCACAATGGTTAAACTAATTTATACTCCCACCAACAGTGTAAAAGTGTTCCTATTTCTCCACAGCCTTGCCAGCATCCAAACAGTAGATCTTATTTCCTCTCAAACTGTATATTTGTACCCTTGATCAAACTCTTCATCCCCTCCTTCGCCATACCTGCCCTGGCCTCTGTCGACCACCAATCTACTCTCAAATTTTATAAGATCCACTTTTTTAGCTCCCAGAGATGACTGAGAACACACAATTTTTGTCTTTTTGTGCTTGGCTTATTTTATTTAACACAGTGATCTCCAGTTTTATCCATGTTGCTGAAGAAATAGATCATTTTTAAAGAAGTGAGAATAATTTATCATTACAAACTAGTCCTAAATGGTCAATTTTAAAGATCACCTCATCCTTGTTTTTCTCATTGTGCCTCCAATGCCTCACCCTCTTATGTGGCTTTTTTCACTCCTGCCCTTCTGGTTTCAGCTCAGATGTCATTTCAACAGTCGTCATTGCACACCCCTCCCCACCCATCTTATCTGTGAGGTCACTTTCCTTTATAATCACTCTTAGTATGTCCTTCATGGCACTTATTGGCTGTAATTGTCTTGTTTACATATCCGCTTCCTTGTTTGTCTCCCATTAGGACATGAGCTCCACTGGGCCAGGGACCACCCCAGCTTACCACCTGGCAGAGTAGGTACCCAAGGAAAACACAGGGCAGGTCTGGGTCCCCTATTGGCTTAGGTAAAGATAATTTTTCAAAACCTGAAAATTTGTAGTGACTGTTGGTTTTATTCCCTTCTACTTTATGTACTTCTTAACGGTGTCTAACACTACATTAAATATGTTAAAAAACCACCAATCACTACCTTACCAAGAAATAATAAGTGTAGCAAAAAATGCCTTACTAAAGATAAAAAATATAATTTTTCCTCCAATAATGTTGAAAAAGAAATATTGAAGGTGTTCTAACAAATCCTAATGAAGTTGGTAGCCTGAATAATGAATAAACTGCTTATAGACCATAAACATGAGCCAAATATAGCAAAAGCACATGGTAGCAATTTTTTTTTTTTTGAGATGGAGTCTCACTCTGTCAATCACTCCATCAGGCTAGAGTGCAGTGGCACAATCTGGGCTCACTGCAACCTCCACCTCCTGGGTTCAAATGATTCTCCCGCCTCAGCCTCCCCAATAGCAGGGACTACAGGCACGTGCCACCATGCCCGGCTAATTTTTGGTATTTTTAATAAAGATGCGGTTTCACCGTGTTATCCAGAATGGTCTCGATCTCCTGACTTGGTGATCCGCCTACCTCAGCCTCCCAAAGTGGACCTATTCTTTTAAAGTTAAATTGCAATGTATAATTTTGCTATACTTATGGTAATATTTTGAGTAGTTCAACAATAAAATGCTTTAGGCTTCCAAACTTACTTGATGCTAGACTTTTCAGTAAAAAAAGTTTGCTTACTAAAAAGTAATAGAAATGATAAGAAAAGTTGGGTGTAATGCTTTCATAATTATACAATTTGCCTTTTATCTTGCAACTGCTCTCTACAGAGGTGCTAATGGAAATTACCAAACCTTTGGTGCACTTATAGAAACAAAAATGCATTTTAATGTGATTGAGGCAATAACCAAACAACTATATTGTTAGTAATAATGGTAGTAAAACTGCTTAAGATGTTGTGCTTTTACAAATGGGAGAAGGATAGACACAGTCTTTGTCATAAAAAGGCTTCCAGGAGCTTTGCTGTCCACACTGCTCATCTATGGGAGATTCAAGTGCATGGGGACACTTCTAAATTTACCTGATAAACTTTACTAAAAAAAACTTCCTTGCTGTTTCTCTTAAGTTTCAGTCATCTGAATTGCAAAAGTAACACACATTTGTTGCAAGAGTTCAAGCAAAAGCAAAGTATCTATACTAAATTCATAAGTTTTGCTTCCTCCTCTAATTCTACTCATTTCAAATAACTGATGCTAGATATTTAGGTAATGAATTGTATATTTTCCCTTTTGCTTGTATAAACATAAGTAATAATAAAATGATAGCAAATAACACTTATGTAATGCTTAGGATATGTCAGGTTTTTTAAGGACTTTACATATAGTATACTATTCATATGATCCTATGAGACGGTACAGGTATTCATCTTACTGTATAGATTAGAAAGATGAGTCACAGAGAGGTAACATGATTTGCCTAAGGTCACACTGCCAGTGTGTAGCAGACACAACATTCAAATGGTAGTTCTGATTACTAAGCTATGCTGTCACTCACACTCAGCTTTTCTGGTTGGTTTATGTAAGGAAGACAGTACCACATGTTTCCCATAAATTTTTCACATACCTAACAAAATATCATTGACCTCGTTCCAGTGCAATAAAGATAGATTGAAGATACTCTTGCAAATGGCTGCATGACTTTCAGTCACCTGAATGTATCATACTTTGTCCCACTACTCTCTTGTCATGAACATGTAGACAGGTTCCACTTTTTTGCTGTTATAAACAACAATGCAATAAACAGCTTTGTACATAAATTCCTATGCACTAGCACTTTGCACTTTTATTTTTCTCAGAATTGGACTTCATGGGGGGAGTGTTCAAAGGATATATACATTTAAGCTCCTAATACTGCCAATTAATCTTCCCCAAATATTGTGGAAGTTTATAGCTGTACCACAGGTGTATCAGGTGACTTCTCTATACCCACTCTACATCTTTTCTCACTACCTAGTATTTTAAATAAAATAAATTTTGTGAATACGTAACTTCTACAACAATTTTATTTTGTAGTTTTTGATATTCTGTGCTATTTCTAAAAAATGTGTAGGCCAGTCAAAATAATTAGCACAAGTAAATTAATTTGATGGTGACATTATAAATAGCAGTTTGGAATTTTCCCTTTTTTCATTATTTCAAATATAGAGCATTTGTTTTTCCCTGCCAACAGTGTTCATTTCTTATTCATTCTCCTCCATCTCTCTCATGCTCCAGGGAGAACAAAGAGGGGACAGAATACCATCTGTCCTGGATAGTTTATACCAGATGATCTCTCAAAGTCCCTTCCAGCTCAATGATTCTTTGAGAGTATGAATTAAAAAATAAAAATAAAGCTACAGACTCTAGGAGGCTGGCTTGTGATTTCACAAAGCTTGTGTGTGGTTCTATGAAAAAGTGTAGCTATGCTATTAAAACAAATAGAATATACCTATGTCTTGGGAAAATAGAATTTCTGGAAATATGGCAGCAACCAGAACTTTCTGGAGGTCATATATTCAGGATTGTGTTAGGGGCACAGGATATTTGGATCCCCCTCCACTTTGGTCCTACTATTTTGATGCAAAGGACACTTTTATACATATACATATTTTAATCTGAACCATAACATTGATGAACTTTCACTGAGGACACGATTCCTGAAAGGCACTTCAACCCAATGGAAATCTCTCCATCAATCTTCCATATGATGTAGTCACAGCATACCTATTTTGTTCAATTTACATTTTTATTTTGCTGAAATTATTTGCATTGGCCTAAGTTCTTTTCCACTTAAATTTTACAGATTTGATTCTTCAATTAGTTTTCTGTCTATATACAATTGTACTGATTTTTATCTTCTGACTTTTTTTTGATGGACATTATTTCTCAGTTCATTTTGTGAGCCTACTTTTGCAGGTCTAAATTTTGTGATGATTTGGTTCTTTCGCTGTTTTTATTCAATGTTGACTTCGCTTTTACATTTTTAGTCATTGTCAGTTTTGTGTTTATTTTCAACCCTCAACATTCATTGTTTATTATAAATTTGAATAAAAGACTGATGGTTTGCATTTATCTCCTAGCTAATTCCTGATAAAATTGTGAGCACTTTTGGGGTAGAGAGAGAACAATGGCAAATGGAGACTGACAGAGAGAGGCCCAAGGTGAAATGACTGCAGTCTGAGACATCTTTGCTGAGTGAACGCACACAGGGGCCCAAACATCTACAAGTACAAAGCAATGGAAGCAAATGACATTGGGCAAATTACCTCCTGTCAAAATGGCAGGGCCCAGACCTCTTGTTTTATTGTTGAACAAAAGCCAGATATCTAATCTCTAGCTTCTCTCCCTGAAATCCTTCCATCAGAGTTCTTTACCAGAATAGCCAAGTCCCATTCTGTGTATCTTCCATCTCCAAGAACAGGAAAATGGAGGTGGGTATGTTAAGTAGGATTAGTTTCAGGTCCTAGTGACAAGAAATACAAATTAACCATAGCTTAAACAAGATAGAACATTCTCTCTCTCTCTCTCTTTCCCCACTCCCCTCCCCCATACAGGAAATCCAGAGAGAGGCCGTGAACAGTGTTACTTGGACCACTGAGAGCTAGAGCTATGGAAGGGGTGCTACCTAAAAGAGGGGGCCCGCCACAGCTAGAACCAGGCTGCTGGTATGTTCCTTTAGCAGAATCTTGGTGTAAGTAAGATAACAGGGAAGCCTGGGTAAAGTTGTCCACTGGGGTCAACTCCTAGGGCACAGACAAGGGCAGGGAGTAGATTTGGGGGTGTGTGTGCAAATGGAGATTATCCAGCATAAAAGGGAAAGATGATGAGGCAATGTTCAATACATATAAGTAGCAGTTTCTATAATAATACTATTAGCTACCATTGGTTGAACAGTTGTTATGTGTCTAGCACTGTGCTAAACATATTCCAGGCAGTATTTTGCTTAGTCCTCATGACCATCTGTTAAGGTAGGCATTATTGTCCTTATTTAAGAAATAGGAAACTAAGATTTAGAGTTGGAAAGAAACTCACTGAAGTTTATATAACAGGTGGTAGAGACAGGGCTCTAAACAAGGTCAGCCTGACCCCAGGGTCATGCTCTCAATCATGATGCTATTTCCTGCCTGAATGTCAGGCAGATGTGCATGACATCAGGGCAGAGGTGTGCAGCTGCCTCACCCTAACTTTCTGTCAAGGGTAAGGCCAACACTCTTTCCTGTCACTTTCAGAGAAGGGAAGTTGAGGCTGGGAGTAGAGAGGAGTGTGCCTGGGATAGACAATTTCAGTCTTCCACTTTCTATTTCTGTTCCTTTCAGGAAGCTCTTGCAGCCTCCTTCCTCAGTGCTGGCTTGGTAGCCAGTTTCTGAAAAAAACCTGGGCCATGGGCAGATTCAGCTCATTTGTTTAGTGGGATCTAGCGGAAGAAGTGGTTTGCCTCTTCCCTGTTTTATGAACTTACTTCTGGACCAAGATCTCCAGAAAAATCAGTTTCTCCATGACCCTCTGGAATAACAAAGCCTATTTTTGGGAGGGAGCTTCTTAAAGAAACATAATGTTTCTAAAATTTTCAAATCTTTTCTGCTTCCCAAAGAAACCAAATGGGAAGAAATACGTATTTAGTTCTCGTGGCTTTCCATTTTTGTTTCTGTCAGCAAGTAGACACAAGCTTCTAGACAAGATGAAGGAAAATGAACAGTGGTGAACAATTGTTTTATCTTGGACCAGTCCAGTGGGTAAAAGTAGTAAAAAGCATCAGAATATTAGCGATAATGGCTTTGTAGGACAAAGTGCAATGACTGTGAAGGCACACAATTAGCAGAGTCATTTCTTCTGACAGACACTGCTGGTACAGGGACAGAGTTGTCATGGGAATTTGCTTCTCCATATGAAGCTTACCGTTATTGTTTGAAATTCTCACAAGCCCATTATGTTCCTCTAACCCCAAAGGACCTGAGAAGGATCTACAGTCCCCTTCCCTGTAGCCTTGTTTTTCTTCTTCAATCCAGTGACAAGATTCTTGAAAGAGTATTGGAGACTTTGGGTCCCTACCTCATTCCCCGTTCAACCCTCTCCTCCTCCCACCTCCCCATGCTCTCCACTGAACTCATTTCTCTCATGGCCTTGCTTGGCCTTGGAAGTATTTTTCATTGCCTACGACTTCCTTATTTTTGGATTTCTCTCTCCTCTTGGCTTTTTCGATGACACTCTCTTCTGGTTTTCCTTTTGCCTTTCTACCTTTCCCCTTTGCACTAATGTCTTCTCTCCTCTGTCTTCCCTCAAATGGTGGTCTACTTTCTGGTTCTTCCCTTGGCTGTTTTCTCTCTTCCCTTAACACTCTTTATGTATTCCATTTCGGTTACCTTATCTCCTAGTCTTAACCTGACAACCACACACCATTATCTTCCAATCCTTAGCCCAGATCTCTCTCCTGTGTTCCAGATCTACATGGATATCCAGCTCCCTTACTAGATGGGGCAGACAGTGCTGGTGCACTGCCTAGGTACCCCTGGGTCCTGGGTCTCTTTTAGTATTCCTGGTTATTTTCCTCCTCAGCCTTGAGGCCTGCCTTTTCAGCTCTTTTTCAGAAGTCTGTCCTTGGATTACTGGATTACTGGAGCACTTTTGCCTGTGTGCCTGGAGAGTTATAGATTTCTGGGAGCCTATGTGCCACCCCCCAACTTCCCCATCTGTCCTATTGTTAGCTATTAGCCAGTGACTGTTATGTACGAGGTATGACAGACCAGCTCCCTTGTATTCAGGGTTGTGTTGGGTCTGCCAGAAAGCAGATGCCAAGATGGAGTTTGAAGTTACCTTATTACTATCTTACTGAAGGTAAGGCCTGTGAAAGGTTAAGGGGAGAGGGAGCAAGAGTAGGCAGAGAAAGCTTTTAGACCACGATGATGAGTTGATTCCTGTAAAGGAGAGGATGAAGGAAGGAGGGTGAGAAAGAATAAGCCTCAGACCGCAGTACAGCTCTAAGAAAGTCTGTCAGTCCAATGGGGTGTTCCTGTGCAAAGACTGCATGTAGAGAGCCAGAAGTGGTAAGACATTACACTGCCCCTGTGCTAAGCTGCTCACTAGAGGCTCTGGGAGGCATGTGGTCTAAGCTAAAAGCTGAGGCTGAAAGCACAAACAGCTAAGTGATAATAGCTAATCGTACCTTGTGAAGGTTTTCTCTTGAGGGGCATTCTGAGCTGCTCACATCCATGGCTCCATAGGTGGAGAGTGGTGAGATGCATCTTCCCCCATCAGAATTCCCCCATGGATCAGAGTAAAGCTTGTGCTCTGTGGAGTTTTTGCTTCAGATCAAGGCCTAGTTTGGCTTGCTCCTCTTCCTTGTCTTGCTTTGCCCACTTTCTGACTAATCTCCCCTGGGAGCAATTTTTAAATAAATAACTTGCACATGACATCTTGACTCACAATATGTTTTGGAGGACCCAATTTAAGACAGGGACAAATTTACTCTTATATTCCACAGAATCTTTAAACACAATGGTATCAAAATTGAATGTGTTTTCTTTTCATTTAGACTTTCTCTTTGCCACAGCAAGCAGGAACTCCACTCACCCAGTCACCCAAGCCTGAAATCTGGACACCACCCTTTGATTTTTTTCCTATGGTGATTCACCACATCCAATACATGATCAAGTCCTATTTCTTTTTGCTCAGTGGTATTTCTCTATTTTTCCTCTCCAACTCTATGGGCATGGACACAATAGACATCTTTTTCCTGGATGCCCTTGATGGCAATGGCTCCCTCACTGGTTTTGGCCTTTAGGATACCCTGCACAATCCATTCTCCGCACTCCTGCCAGAGGAGATACCAATACACGCAGAGGGTGCCTGGTAGAGGTAGAATGTGTAGACGATTGAAAGACTACAATGGTCATTCTGAAGGTTGCAAGCAGTCTATCCATTCTAGCATGTAAAATGGAATTTATTCTGAGAGTAACCTATCATTTTGTTCTGAGAAGAACCTTTTGAGTTGTCTTTTTTGTAGGATATAAGGCAAGATTCTACCCACTGTTCTTGCAGGAGTCGATGTGATAAGCACTTTTTGGCTAGTTGGCTCCCCAAGGAGCTTGGATATGTTGGTGAGTGTAATAGGCAGCCTGCCTTGTTTTAGATAAGCCTGATCAGAGGGTCAAGCCTGGGGGAGGAGGTGTTCTTAATTGAAGGAGGGTTTTTCTCAGGTTTGTGCCAGAGCCGTGGCTTCTCCAACTGTGGCTTACATGGATTGTGTTGCCTTCTTAAGAATTTCTAAAAGTGAAAACAACTACATTGACGTTTTCTTCCCGCTGGAATAATGATTTATTAGATAAAATAGGAAATAAAATCAAGGCAACTTGTTTGTATGTGTTTGGTAAAGCAGATGTTCTCTGCCTTACTTCTGGGGGATGCTTGTATAGCTGTGTTTCAGGGATCAGTTAGAGGGGTATCAAGGTGTATCAATATTTAGTTAAATATTCTCATTCCAGCCTTTGTTCCCTCAAACGAGAGTGTTAGATCCTTGGAGGCAGGATTTTTGTCTACTTTAGTTTTTATTCCCCCAAATTTCTGCATATGGTAGGTGTTCAATATTTTTGACTGATAGTCTCTTTCCCACGTTGCAGAATGCTTATACGTTAAATGACACAAGATAAGCACAGTACTTGAAAAAGTAAGGAAAATGGATAATCTTGTGATTTTGTAAAATAATGAAGTTAGCTTTTAATTTGAATTTAATGGGCATTATTCAATATGCAGAGTTGTGGTCTACCTTGTTTACTTTTGGAATAACAAGTACTTTTATGGTCCTGCTTATTGATCAATGTGAGATGAGCATTTTAGCTAATTGTTTCAATCTTTCTGTGGTCACCAATGTAAAAGAAAAGTGGCTCATACAAAACTCCAAAAGAAGAAAGAGAAAAGGATCAAGAAGAAATGTGGTTGGTGCATTTACATCACACTAGAATTACAGATAACCTGGACAGGGTCGAGAAAACAATCACTTTTTGTAGAAATTCATTCTGTCATACGTACCCAGATATTTACATAGTTCCTGATCAGTGATAAACCAATTTTAACATGTTTGATAGTCTGTAATAATGGGTCAAAGCAAGCAAAATGAAATTTAATAGAAGTAAATAAACAATACTACCCAAAAGCTAGAGATATTTAGTTTAATTTAAAAAGACAATTTAAGAGATTTAGTTTAAAGCTCAAGGTAAATCAGCAATGCAGTATTGCTGCTGACTTATTTAACGAATTCTCTATTAGAGTACATTACTGGAAGTAAAGCACCTGAGGAAAATGGGTGGGCAGGTTGCAGTTTCTGTGGGCCCCTCAAAACATACCTGGAATATTGTGTTAACTTCCAGGTATGGCTTTTTAAGATGGACATTGACAACCTAGAAATGTTTCTATGTTGAGTGGGGAAAAGCAAAGAGCATGTTCAAATTTACTGTATCTGTTATCAGTAAATAGGGTTGACGATGAGTGGTGCTCGCTGTCCTGTCCACCTACCTCTGCCCCTAGATAGAGAAACTGTGGAAATGAAATGGACTTCCCAGAGTCAAAACATCAAAGTCAACATATGTTGGATGAGAAGAGAGAGAGTTTAGGCCAGGTTCATTATGCATTAAACAAGTCTAAGGAAGAAAACATCAATTATTGAGGTGGATCATAGGAAAAAATGAGTCAGAGAAAATGATCAACCATTTCCCAGCCTAGTCCAGGGCAGAAGAGATTAAAAAGTTACAGAATTTTGCAAATAGTCAAGGACATTAGTATTATGATTAATGAATACAACCTTCTGTTGTAGCTTGATGCCATTAGACATTCAAATAATCTCTTTCCTCATGCCATGATTCTGTGTCCACCAAGCTACCCTCTGGTTACAAATTGACTTCCCACATAGGCTTGCTACAGGGAGAGAATGTTCTGATTGTGCCATGTGAGTATTCTAGGATGTATGACAGTAATGGCTCCTGTTGTAAATGAGTCTGTTGGTACTCTGTCTCTCATGGGCTTGGCTACTGCAAATCTGTCCTGCAGGGTCAGAGCCACTCTTGATGTGCTTACAGAATCCAGTTTTAGAAATTGCAAAGCTGAGCCACAGACTCTGGAGCATGGTAAATTCACCAAAGTAACAAATTCTACCTCATTGAGAATTCTTGGGAAACAGCCAGCATTGTACTTGGACAATTTCACTGTTTTCTGGAAATCAGAACAATAACCTTCTTGTGAACACCTGTAGCAGACATGTCATTTGATTCTTAGGTGTTGCTTCATTAAATCTTGACTTCTTGGAGGAACTGAGTTTGATTCCTTTTTGTGCCATTTACAATACCCAGCACATAAGATGTTTCACCAACCAACCAGTAGCCCTTTCCTCACCACCCTAGATCTGACTACCACTCTTCTTCATGTTCAGTGCTTACTCACCTTTACCTCCCTCCTCCCACTAAAGCAGGACTAGCCCCTTCCCCAAAAATCTCCTCTCATTCCCCAAGAACAGTCTAAATTCTATAGAATCGCAGCCATCTCTCTGTTCTCCCCCTACACTGTAGACCTGACACTCTCCTTTGTTTCTGTCTCTGAGTCCTTGTACTCATAGTCTCTCCTATCTGGCAAGCATCCTTGGCTTGCTGACTATAAGGTGGTTCAAAACACCATTTTTCCTATTGGCTTCACAATCTGCAACCCATGAGCATGTGGAGCTCTGTCCCTGTGTCCCCCAATATTTTATATCCTCAGATGTTGGATGTGATTTTTATTTTTTGCCTATGCCTTAGAGTTTTGAACCTCAGCTTATCTGGGAGAGGTGGTCTGGCAGTGCCTTCATAGAACCTTCCACATCATAACCCTTAATCTAGTGTTTGTTCATGGAATGAATAAATTAACAATATCATTTGAGTAATCTGTGAACATTTTAGAGGAAGTTAAACAGAGATGAGAAGCCACAGGAGGATGTAGCTGAAGTCTTCACATATTGGGTGTTATGCCATGTGAATAAGGAGTCACATTTGTTATGCCTTGAACCTGAAGGAGGTGCAGAAAGGAGTTTCCTGGAGGCAGAGGTGGTTGTCTATGTAGGGATAGGGGATTTGGACTGGATAATAGGGTCATACATACTTAGATCAAGGCAACATAAAAATCTCGATATCAGTATTACTCTTATCACTACTCATACTAATATTACTACACTGAAATTACAGTTTATTTAGCACTTTACAGTATATTGAGGGCTATTTATATGTATTATCTCATTAATCCTCCTAATAAATGTTGAGGTAATTTTTGCGGTGCTTTGTCGTTTTACATATGGGGAAACAGTCTCCCCATAAATTTAATCACTGATCACAGAGTCCATAAGTGGGAGAAGTGAGTGAGATTCAAAACCAGGTCCTCTGGCTCTAAATCTCCTCCACATTTTCCCTCAGCTGCACTGCTTACACAATAAGCCTGCAAAAATGAACTCTGTTTGAAGATCTAGTTCAAGTTGGATCAAAAGTGATGAAAATCATCTAATGTATTAGTATAACAAAATCATTTCCTTCTTCTGCTTTAATGTGGACTTCCTTTGTACTACAATAAACTGTCCATAAAGAATTCAGCACCAATATTTTATTTCTTAGAGACTACCATTTGTTTGTGTTTCTTGGTAAGTTATCCACTGTGAAGAGTGGGCCTTTGAGTATTTCCAAGTGTGCTGTAAACTGCACATGTGCCACCCATTTGGGTGAATTACACTCACTTAGGAGCCAAAGCAAATATCAGACATTCGTTCTTTAATCTATGCTTGTAATTTTTCTGAATTTCCTTTGAAACACTGCCCTATTTGAGTGTCATTTCTCAGTAGGTTATAAGATATGTTGCCATTTTCAAATGAACATTTGAAAATAAAAAGCCCTGTTCGTATCCAGGCACAGAAAACCATTTAAACTCATCTCCATGAAATTGATGCTAAAATTTAAGAGCATAACTGTATTAACTTTGGAACAAATGAGAAAATGGGAGTGCCTTTTGCAGAGCATAGCTCTATGCAAATATAATTAAATTTCATACAGAGGTAAATCTTTAAAACCTATCTTTGATGCAGTAAAATAATTAATACTGAATTATTATCCAAAAGATCACAAATCCAAATCCATGATAAATTGTTCTACAAGCAGAATTTAAAATTATTTTTGTCAAATTTCCATGTTGGAGGGATGAGATAGAGGAGTATAAACCCAAACAAGAACTTCATTTTATTATTTAATGCAGATTCAACACCTATTGAATGGCTATTACATACCAGGTATGGTCTAGAGAATTGTTAACTTCTGTTCTTTCAATCAGTTCTCCCCTAAAAAAATTTATGAGAATGTTGGATACCCTAATTTAGGCTTCGTTTTCCAGCTCACATAGATATTAAATGAAATGACCAGAATTCCAACGAAGGTCATTTGATTCTAAGTCAAAAATGTGTGTCCACCATGACATGCCACCTGCCAGATTATGCAAATTTAATCATTGTCTTTCTAATGTAGGCAAGAACTGCTTCAGAGCTGATTAACCTTATATGCATTTTTGCTCACAGGGAACTATCAGCTGGAGAAGCTGATCTTTCCACAGCATCTATCAATCCCCATGGTGGCATGCAGTGTGGGCTTTCCTGGCCAGTCAATGGTAATGAAACCAACAGAAAAGTTGGGGCTGTGTTTTGGGGAGACAGCCTCTCTGCATATCTGATTGTGACGCTGTGCCTTCTCATGGCCTGGCCCTTTACAGTAACCTGCTTTCTTGTTTTGGGGTGAATGATTAAAATTCAGGCCCAGTTTCTCATAAATTAAGGCAGAGAGTTGTAGAAGATGAAGTTGACTATCTCTGCCTTTTTTGTGTGTACACGTATACACACTCATACTGAATCTAATCTGGCCATATATGGATAGAAAAACCAACATTCCCTGCTTCCCTTGAGAAATAAGGTTTATCCCCAAAGATGGAGGTCAGAGGATTACGCAAGTCACCAAATGAAGAGGATTAGATTTGACCGCCCACACTCAGACCTGCATTGTGGAATTGACTCTGAGAAAGGATTTGCAGATCTATCATACACAGTTGCTGGTAGAATCAGGATTAGAGCACCTCAATTTCTCATTTGTACCTCATAGCTCAGATAACTTCATACCCTGGGAATCAATGTTCCGTATGCTGGAAGAGCAGACGGGCCTGCACAAACAGACTTTTTGTTGTTACTGTTATATTGTCAAACTATCTTATCTTTAATCTCTAAAATATAACAGGCCCTCAGAACATCATTTACTCCTATGAAGTTAAATAAAATTATCAAAGTGTCAGATTACTTGTATTAGTCAATAGAAAAATTCTAAACATTAACTCCAGATAAGATACTTGCTTTGTACTAAATGGGAAAAAAAGATACAAATCATAATCTTTAAGGATTTAAAAGCATAGCAAAAATATTTGCCATTTAATATCTGTTCTTTTCTGGCACAGAACCAAGCTTTATAAACACCCAGTCTTTACAACCATGTTAAGAGGTAGTGTCCTATTTTTCAGAATAAGAAACTGAGACTAGGAGGTTAAGCAATTCAGTTGTCCAGCGTCACATAATTAATGATGAACTCTGGTTTAAAGTCCTCCAAAACCTCTGTCTGTACACCCCATTACCTTCCAAACTACGTGGAGAGGCTAACATCTACAGTGGGGTCTATGAAGAAATAAAATAGATTGTTACAAACCATAGACTCATATGGTTCCTTTAATGTATAAATTGTTTATACACCGATGTTAAAGATGCTGTCAAACCTCTTTGGATTTACTGCTGGAACTCTAGCACACATTGTTTTAAATAGCCCCAAGGATGCTAAATATTTGCCGTTATTTAGCCATAAAACACACCTTTTCTATGGGTCTGATTTTTGGAAATGGTTAAAAATTATTAATGGCTTAATCAAGTAAATGAATTGAGTAATTAAGATGGGTGACAGAATTAAAAAGAAACCAAAAAAAGGAAATAAAATATGATTATAAAAATAAATGCAATTCTATACTTCCTGGAGTGTTTGTTACCAAACCAGCATTACTATCTTATGCCTCACATGCACGTGAAAAAGGATTTTCCAATAAGAAGAAAAACACATTTAAGATCCAATAAATGGTACAGAAAAATGAGGACTAAGGGTGAGATTTTGGAGAGCTGAGATGAATCAATAATTTTAACAATAATGATTTGATCTGATATGTGCCTGCTAAACTTGGCCTTCATTCACCTCTTTCATTCACAGAAAAAGGCAAAACTGACTGCCTCTCACAAAAATAACAAAACTTGGGGATTTTAAGAAATTTAAATATTTTACAATTTTTAATAAGCAGTTGAGAATTACAAAAGATTAAAGAAGAATAGATAAATTATGTAAATGTCTAGGTCATTCAGAAGAGCACTTTAAATCAATTGTCTCAAAGTAGGGCACTCGAGATAATCCACAAGAGTTCAGAAAGAATATTGGAACTTCAACATCTATTTTTAAAAATCTCATACTTTAAAGATTCTATTTGTTTGTTTTATTATCTACATGATTTAATAGTTCAATATTATGTGAATATTCATAAATACGTATGCATATGTAATATATAAATGAATATAAGTATTTATATATTGATGAGGTGGTATGTGATCAAAAAACCCTGGGACCACTGCTTTAGACCCACTCAGGAGAGACTAAGTGGGACAGGCTCAATGGAGACAACATAACGCTATCAAATGGCAGAGATCGCACCCCCTCTAGCTGTTTTTTTTTTTTTTTTCCTCTATAATAGGGCCATAGGAGGTTGTCTGGAGAAAGGTTTTTTAATGCTTTGGGTGTCTACCACCTTGAAGTCTTTCATATTCTTTGTGCACTCTGACTTGGGCTTGGGGTGATGTAGTTGAATGAGCAGCCCTTGCTAGGTGAAAACCTAAAAGAAGAGCATTGGTCTAATGTGCTCCACTTAGGGGTGGAGAAATACGATTATGACTCAGGTGAGACAAGGCAAGCTACAATTAATAAGACCCTTGATCTCCATAGCTGGGACTCTTGCCAAAGAAGTGGTTTCATTGACTGGTGTTGGGAAACTCATTAGGATGTCAAGCATGAAATGAAAATCTTGTAGAGTGACAGAGCTGAGAGACCTTAGAGGTTATCCAGTCTACTGTCTCATTTTACAGCAAAAAATTGAGGTACACGGAAATCATGTAGGTGTATCTCATTAATGCAGGAGGCAAGGACAGTCTGTATCTTCTAGGCCAGTCCAAATCTTAGCTGGACTCAGAAGGAGGACTTGGTACTTGAGAACATGAGACTATTTTACTTTCTAAGGAATGCACATTCCACATGACTCATGTTAGCTTTTCAATTTTCCATTTATATAGGGAAAACTGTTATGGAGAGACAATTTTGAAGAGTTCACATTGTGATACATAGATGGACTACATGTAACTCTTCTAAAAATATTCAAATATAGCACATTTCAGTCTTAATTCTATGGGCATAAGCATTTAGTATTTTATTTACCCTCTCAGGGACAGAAATTTTAAATATTATAGAAATATCTTGTAATGGCCAATGCTGGCATTTTCCCAAGCATTTTTATAGCTAATCCTTGGGAATTTTTCCATATATGTTTTATTGAAAGCAACAAAGAATATAATGCAATGATAACTCTCAAAAGGAAAATGTTAATTATTTCACTCTGTATGACTTTTCTAGAAGGAGATTTTGGGCCTCTGTGTGTCTCATTAATTTAAACACTAGATTTTCTCTAAGGAATTCCAGTCTGAGTTTATGCTTTTGCAATTCCACATGCATTTCCCGAGTTTTCATTCCCTCTTTCTGGCATGTCCTTCCTGCCTGGCTAATGTCTCTATTTCCTTACAAACTTTCTTAGCAAGCTCAGGGGTTGCTTAAGAGACTTTCTCTTGGTTACTCCTATCTCCCACCCTTAGCAGAGAGAAGAGTCAGGTGTGTGTGTGTGTGTGTGTGTGTGTGTGTGTGTGTGTGTGTGTGTGTGTGGCTGGGGCCGGGGTTTCTTTTGTTATGAAATTTCTCAGGTTTTGCTGAAATTATCTGTGGAATTGTCTGTTCCCCACAGTAAGTCTTGAGTTCCAAAATGACAGATTGTTTTTTATGTCTACATTTTCAGTGTGGTGATAGTCTAGCACATGGTAGCTCCTGAAGCATGTTATTAGAGAAACACAAATTATTTTCAGAATCTTATTAAAGAACAATGAAAAATATCCTGAAATCTAATGGATACTAGTTACAGTGATTTGCTATTTACTTCAAATGATCAACTGTTCTTACATTAAATAAACCAGTCAGTTGCTTGGAAAGAAACAGCCTTCATTTGATTCATATCAGTAGTGTAATATCAATAAGTTAACTCCCCTCAGTTTCAGATTGAGCTGAGAAAATTCTAGGTAATTGTTTTGAGAACATGAGTAGCTAAAACTACAAACTACAACTAATAAAGTATTGGAGAGGCAAGATGATACTTTGGCCTCAGTCTCTTCTTTGAAAATTGTTTATTTTGGTCTATTTCTATCATCTTACATTAATAGCTATAGTTCAAGAGGAATTATTACTTTAATATACTAGAATTCTCTTTTTGTCCTAGGCAGTCATGCAATGCATGCTTTAAACGTGTAGTCCCTTGATAAATTTATTTCATGCCAATTTCCCTCTGGATGAAAAATAAATGTTTTAACCTATGATGAATTCATGTTTCAGATCCTGCTGGGTTGGCACATTGTAGATGCCTATCACTTCTACATTTAAATTAAGAAAGGAAAACAGCGGTAAATTTTATGACCTAGATAAAAATCACATTCCTTTACAATTCCTTATCCTTATAGCTTGATAACTTTTAGGTCCTGAAATTGATTTTTTAAAAAAGTCTAATTTCTTCCTTACAATTTATGGATTTCTCTCCCTCTCTGTTCTTCAATTAGCTTCAGCAGAGAAAACAGAGTTACCAGTGTGGTGCTTATGGTTTGATTCTCTTGTATTAATTTAAATGTAAAATATTGCAAAATTAGGCTGGGTGCGGTGGCTCATGCCTGTAATCCCAGCACTTTGGGAGGCCGAGGCAGGTGGATCACTTCAGGCCAGGAGTTCAAGACCAGCCTGGCCAACATGGTGAAACCCCGTCTCTACTAAAACTACAAAAATTAGCCGGGCATGGTGGCACATGCCTGTTGTCCCAGCTACTCTGGGGGCTAGGCAGGAGAATCACTTGAACCCAAAAGGCAAAGGCTGCAGTGAGCTGAGATTGTGCCACTGCACTCCAGCCTGGGCAGCAGAGCAGGACTCTGTCTCCAAAATAATAAAATAAAATAATAAAATATTGCAAAATTAAAACACTGCCAATAAAATCTCCATTTTTTTTCAAAAGAAAAATGGTTAGCATGAGATCTTTTCCATTGCATTCCACACCTGCCTACAAAACTAACAAAGTACAAGGCGTATACTTTCCTCTTTCTCCCAAATATCTATTAAGACAATGATAACTTTTATCAAGAAAAGAGCATAGTTTGATTCCTGAATGTTTATTTCTAAATCTCTTGTCCTCACAAAGAACTGCATTTGTGATTATGAAATGTCCTTCTTTACCTAAGTTTCGGTATGTTTTCAAATGAAAAGCTTTCAAATGAGAGTAAGCTGAAATGTTGAAATGAGAGTAAGCTGAAACATTTAAATGTTTTCAAATGAGAGTAAGGAAGCTAGACTCACAAAGGAGGAGAAATAATTTGTCATTCATCATTCATTTTCTCATTCATATACTCATCCAGAGGAAACATGGTGTCACACAGAAGAACCTGAGTCTCAATATCCCCTCAAGAAACTTACAAACCAGAAGGAAGAAGAAGCTATATTATAATTATATTACAGGCAGGATGGGAATCCCACAGGAATGGTATTTCACTATGCATAGATACTGCTCTATGGGTGGTCAAAACACTAAAATACTTCCATGTCAATTAGGTACAGCTACTCTTCTGGCCTCCCAAGCACCATCGTTGCCCCTCGAGTCCCTGACTAGAGACCCCCCATCCCTACCACCTCTCCCATGGTCCAGCAACTAAAAGTAGAAGGCTTGTGCTGGCTAGGAGCTCCTGCCCGACTGCTCCTCTGCTTGCTTGGCTAATGCCTGGGCAGTTGTGGTTGTGAAATATTTGACTTATCACTCATAGATAAATGATACAAAGAGAACAGGTTCATTGGGAAACAGCCTCCAGATGGATTTCAACTATCTGCAAAGTTAGAATTGTAAAAAGCAGAGTAAGAGGAATTGAAACTCCATTTTACAGCCTAGATTTGCAGAATATCTTCAGAAAATTCTGGTTCTTCTTATAATACAAAGACGAAGGTTGTAAGCAGGGCTGGCTACTAAAACGTGTGCATTTACAGATCAGGTGGAGCTCTCAAAAAACACAGGCATGGAAGTTTAGTTGCTTTGTTTGCCACCCATGATTTTCAGCTTGTGTTGTCAAATTTGCATTTGAAGGCGCTATTAAGCCATGGCATCAAAATAATGATGACAGTTGCTGCAAAATATAAGAAATCAAAAGGAAAAGGGGGGGAAAACTTCTGAAGAGAAGAATGGCTCCAAATGCGGTAATTATGCAGAGCTGTGACGAGCCTCATTCACATATAATGTATACTTTGGGCAAGGGAAGAAGTGCTGTACAAACAAATCTGAGAACAACCTGCAATTCCCATCAGCCACACACAGTGCAGGGGCTGCTTTTGTGGTCTAGACAAGAGTGACTCAGAAAAATAAGTAATTTGCAGTGGAGCACAGGCACTAAGGGAAATTTGTCAAAATCAGTGTGGAAGTCATAACAAAAGGAAGATAAATTTGGTTTCTTTGCCTTTGTGAAACCAACGACTAAACTGAGAGGTGGGCCTCTAACTGTTCAGCATTTCCTATTTGTTTATTCTGGCTGGAAAAACTTGAATTCTTACAGATTTTGATGAAATCTGATACACTGGTTTAAAAATAAATATTTGTTAACCAAAGTAATACACTTACATAGTTTATTTCTTTTTTTCTTATTTTTACGGTATGAAACATTACTAAAAGTAAACTAACCCTCTTCCATTCTTCATTTCTACCTCCCAGAGGCAATCCATTGCAACTCTTAATGACTTTTTCTTTTAAAATATACACTCTCTCTGCATTTCTAACTAGCATCTTAATATTACTATTGCTTATGTAACACATTTTAAACATAATCTCTTTATTTTCTGTTACTAAGCTCTCTAATTTACCCCCTAAAATCCTTGAAAAACAAATCCTCCAAACTTCCCCATATCCCATCCCTTCATATGTCACAATCTTTGGTTAAATCTATAGTCAGTCTTTGTTTTTGTCGCTAAATATTACTACTAAGTTGACTAGTGTTCTAAGATTACAGGTTTTTTTGAGTTAATTATTGCTTTTTTTACTGTTATGCGTAGGTCCATGTATGTATTTTCCCCACTCCAAATATTTCAAAAAACCCTCTAATGCCTATCACTAATATTTTCCAAATATTTCATCACATCAGATATCTGATTGTTCTAACCTTTCTTTAGTGGAAACTCTTTTTTTGGTTTATTTTCTTGTTTTGCTAAAAATGAATTCTCAATGTACTTCCTAATTAAGAGTGTATAGGATATATATTTCTTGAGCCATATATATGGAAAAATATATTTCTTCTTGCTTGTGCACTTGAGTTTTGATACGTCTGGTAGAAAATTTCATATTAAAATTACTTCCCTCTGAATTCCCAGGGAACTACTCCATTCTTTTCATGCTTCCAGTGTTGCTATTGAAGAGTCTGATGTCATTTTAATTTTTGAATTTTGTATGTGATTTACTTTTCTTCTCTGAAAGCTGTTAGGACTTTTTCTTTACTCCCAATGTTCTGCAATTTCACTGAGATGGTGTGCCCTGTGGGTGGGGCCCTTTCTCTCTCTCCCACCTCCATTTATTGTGCCGGGCATTGGTGGTACCTTTCAATTTGGAGACGTGTGCTTTTCAGGTCTGCCACATTTTTACATATTACATCTTTAATACATGTCACCCTCTGGCTTTTCTGTTGTCCCTTGTGGGATGAGCTTCCTTACAGAATAAATTCAAGGTTTATTATATGTATATAGATACCTGCAGTAGAAAGTGTGATATCTCAAAGGAGAAAAACACAGGGAAAATGAAGATTTTGTGTTAAAAATCTGTGTCCCAACCCTTAGTTCAATTCTGAAATTATGAGACTGCAGAGTTTAAAAGCAAAAGAATGAAATTCCAAGGTGTGGAATTTCAGGGTGTGGTCTGAGTTTTCAAGGGTGTGGCCATAAGTTTTCTCAGACCTAGGAGAAGGTTTTCACTGTTGGTGCTTATTCCCTGGGGCTATAACTGAACTAAATCTAGAGTCAACCTTCTGATACAACCCTAGAAGAAAAGGCAACTTTCATCTTCAGCACCTTATTTAGAAGTCTCCCACATGTGCCCCTTAACAGTTAAGGAGCTTTCAAGCTAGGGGTCCACATCTCCCCACCTTGTGGTTTAAACCTATCTTCTTTTGAAATATCCTGAGTATCATCAACATCAGGGACAGATTTCCTGGGAGCTCATCATAGTCCGTCCTCCCCTGGCAGTTCAGTTGCCCTTCAGTCAGACCAGCTCAAGACAAAACCCTGAGCAAACTAGCAGTGCTCTAGGTCTTTGCTTGATGATCCAATTCCATGGCAGGGCCCAGTTCTAAAACTATTTGTTCCAAGTTTGAGATACATGGCTACAATATCATTTGTGCTTTCTCTCTGACAAAGGGAAGGAGAGCAAGGTCCAGAAGCCAGTTGCTAATACAACAAAATTAGCTTCCCTCCTTTCCCCAAAATGGGAAAAGCCTTGGTGCCTGATGTTTGGTCCTACACAGCCAAAGGCCTCGCCCTGAGGGAGAGGGAGTCCCAGGAAGAAACTAGCTGATGTTTGCATCCCACCTCCTATTCAGTGGAAAGTTGTTATCTGACTCTTCTAATCTCTGCAGAGTCCTTCAGGCCAGCTGGGCAGCTGCATTCCAAGGGAGAAGTGTCTCTTTGAAGTTGGCGCCTGTAGACGTCTTGGCCTACATGGGGCTGCAGCGCAGAGCTAAAGCTTTGCAGAAGGCTCACAATAATCCGGATTCAGGCTACATCTCCTCCAAGAGGTTTTCTAGGGCAAGACGACACATAGCCACATTTTTCTAGTCCTCAAACGAGCTGGTTGCAAGGTTGTTGCCAGCCCTAGTACAATCTAGATGATGGCCTCTCCATTCCCAAGGGACTTCATACATAGCTAAAACATAGATTTAAAAAATCTTACCATATTTTTTTTTGTTTTCTTTCTTTTTGAAAAGTAAAATTTAGAGTTTTTAAAAACATAGAATACATATTCATTAAGGAAAAAAGAATACAAATAAGTGGAGAAAGTAAGAGATGAGGTGGGGGGTGCATATCACACAGAGAAACCATTGTTAATATTTAGAGATGTTCCATTTTTTTCCACTGCTTATTAAAAAAATTTTTTTGTGGTAAAATATAAAATTTACTATTTTAACCATGTTTAAGTGTAAAATTCAGTGGCACGAAATACATTCATAATCTTGTATAACCATCACAACTATCTAGAGTGTTTCATTATCTCAACCAGAAATTCTGTAACTATTAAGCGATAACTCCCTATTCCCCATTCCCTCCAGCCCCTGGTAACCTCTATTCTAATTTCTGTCTCTGTCGATTTGCCTACACAAAATAGCTCCTATTAGTGGAACCATACAATGTTGGCCTTTTGTTTCTGCCTTATTTCACTTAGCATAATATTTTCAAAGTTTATTGACAGGGTAGCGTGTGTCATAACTTAATTCCTTTTTATCCTTGAATAATATTTTATTGTATGTATTTACTTTGTTCATTGGCTGGTCAACACTTGTTTCTACCTTTTGGCTATTGTGACTCATGCCACTATGAACATTGGTCTTCAAGTGTCTGTTAGAGTTCCTGTTTTAAATTCTTTTGAGTATATACTTAGAAATGGAATTATGGGTCCATATAGTAATTCTATGTTTAAATTTTTGAGAAACCATCAAACTGTTTTCCACAGTAGTCACACCATTTTACATTCCCAGCTGCAATGCATGAGGGTTTTGATATCTCCATATTGTTGCCAACACTTGTTATTTTCTGGGTTTTTTTTTTTAAGTTTTAGTAATAGCCATCCTAGCATGTGTTAAGTAGTATCTTACTGTGGTTTTTATTTGCATTTCCCTAATTACTAATGATGTTCAGCACCTTTTCATGTACTTATTTCTCCTTTGTATGTTTTCTTTGGATAGATATCTTTTCAAATTCTTTGCCCACGTTTTAACTTTTTTTTTGGTACTTTCCTTGTAATTCAACTTTGGGTGAAAATGCACCACTACCCAAATCAGGAGGTTTGAATACCACATCTAATTTTAACACTATTATTTTTTAAGATTTTATCCAATTTCTTTTATTTCAATAGGCTTTTGGGGAACAGGTGGTGTTTGGTTACATGAATAAGTTCTTTAGTGGCGATTTCTGAGATTTTGGTGCACCCATCGCCCAAGCAGTGTACACCGTACCTAATTTGTAGTCTTTTATCCCTCACCTCCCTCCCTTTTCCTGTAGTCCCCAAAGTCCAATGTATCATTCTTATACCTTTGTGTCCTCATAGCTTAGCTCCACTTATGAGCGAGAATGTTTGTGTCCTCATAGCTTAGCTCCACTTACGAGTGAGAACGTATGATGTTTGGTTTTCCATTCCTGAGTTACTTCATTTAGAATAAGGGTCTCCAATTCCATCCAGGTTGCTGCAAATGCCATTATTTAGTTCCTTTTTATGGCTGAGTAGTATTCCATGGTGTATATATATATACCACATTTTCTTTATCCACATATACTCGTTGGTTGATGGGCATTTGGGCTGGTTCCATAGTTTTGCTATTGTGAATTGTGCTGCTATAAACATCTTTGCCCATTTAAAAATTGGATTGTTTCTCTTTTGTTTCTAGTCACTTTTTTACATAGTTTTAAAAAAAATTCTGTAGATGAGGTCATACAGTGTGGAATTTTTTCTTAATTTTCCGCATAACCATTGAGATTAATCATATGTGTGTTTTTCTTTCATCAGATTGAGCCCCTGAAGGTCAGTGATCAAGATTATGTCTCTGCTTCATTTTATGTATTCCCAATGTGCATCTCATATTTTAGTAAAGGGGAAATTGAAACTTTACAGTTTCATAAATGTGTAATGCTCTTTCATGCTTCTGGGGCTTTGTACATTCTCTTTGGCTGCCACTGTCTTTCCAATTTCCTTCATCTGCCTTATTTCCTTCTTACCCCTCATAATCCCAGCCTTCCCTGACTTTTAGAACAGAGTTGATAAGTTCCTGCTTTGTTCCGCCACTTATAATAGTGTCTTGCAATACTTTATTTACTTGTCTGTCCTCCCTCCTGGGCTGTGAGGTCCTTGACTGCAGAGTGCATGCCTTATTGGTCTTTGTATTCTCAGTGCCTGTCAAGGATTCTGGAACACAGCAGATATTTAATAAATGTGTGTTGAGTGAAGGAAATGTGGAAATTTGTTTTTAAAAATACAGGATTTGTTTATAAACATAAATGAGGCCCAGGGCTTTCACATGGTCTATTTTGTTTAATCTCTACAACAGCCTTGTGAAGGAGGTGGAATTGAGCCCACTTTACAGATGCAGAGGCTCAGGGAGGCTGTGACTTGCCCCAGGTCACATGCTGGTAAGTGTTGTCCTGCAACAAGTCACTTTCATTCTGGAAATCACAATTTGCTGTTGACTGCAACTGCCAGGCCTGTTGATAGGCATGATTCATCCTTTAAACTAACTGCCTGATCCCTGAACAATAAGATTTGGTAGGAATAAAGTGTTAATTCAGAAGCTCAAAGATAAAATGAAAGGTTTTGTACCAAAATGGGACAGGGTGAACTCATCTTTGGAAAAGCAAATTTCTGAAATAAGCAAATGGAGAAGACTTAGCCAGAAAAAGAAAATTCAGTGTTTTGTTTTTGTTTTTCTTTTTCTTTTTTCTTTTTTTAGACAGGGTCTCTTTCTGTTACCCAGAGTGGAGTGCAGTGGCTTGATCACAGGTCACTGCAGCCTGGACCTCCTGGGGTCTCAATGTCTTCTTAAGAGAATAATGTAATCAAGTTGTGTGTGTGTGTGTGTGTGTTTTTGTTTAACTTCAAGTAACTTGATGAGTTACAGATACAGAATATATTATGCATTATCATTACCGTATTTTCAGCATGTATAATTGATAGAATGTACTCTTTTGAGTTTATCATCTATTATTTTTAGGATAATGTCTAAATAAAGGAAGATTCACTTTTTTTACCTCATCTTTTGTGTATTTTATAGAGACAATTTTTCTTAAAGAGTGGGCTTTGTCTATTCTCCACCAACTGTATGTTTTTATGATTTTATGTTGTATTTTTAGTAAATTTTTACACATAAAAAATCTTTAAAACATAATCAGGTGCTGCTTTGATATCTTTAATATTTCAGATTTTATGGCCATGCTATAAAGGTCATTTTGTGTTTTGTTATTTTTTATATTGTTTTATTGACCTTGTTTTACACATAGAAAATGCCTGTTAATAGCTATGTGTCTACATGTATTGTTGGCTTTTCCTAAATTCTGGGTTTAAATAAACAGGTATACCTTTGGGTTCTCATACATCTTTTACTTTCAATTCTTGTATTTTTTTCCATTTCTAGAATGTTTGTGTAATTCTTTCTTACAGATTCCAGGTCTTTGGTGAAATTCTATATCTTGTTTTGCATTTTCTTGAACCTAATAATCATAGTTATTTTAAAGTATGTCTGAAAAATCCAATATCTGCATCACTTGTACGTCAGCTTCCATTTTCTGTTTTTCTTCTTCTCTTGGTCCTAGTTCTTGGCATGCATGGTAACTTTAGATGAATGTCAGACACTGTGCATGAAGTATTGAAGATGCTCTGGATGATGTTAACTATTTTCCCAAATATATTCTGTCAGACAGGAGCAAACCTCCACAATTCGACCCTAACCCTCACAGCTCGTTCCAAGCTTTGTAAGTTGTTTCTTCTTCTGTTCACCTACATTTCTTGAGTGTAGGTCTCTAGTGTAAGTCCCTGAGTGCTTAGAGGTCTTCTCCTCTTTGGTGAGCCTTGAACTCCAACTTTGATCTCACAGCTCTACAAGACTGCTAAAAACTCCACTCCTCAGTTACTTTGGCTTCTTAGCCTCTTGCTCTTCAAAACTTAAGAATTAGCAAATGTCCTGAGATGAAAACTTGGTTAAAATGATGGGTTCACTTTTCTGCATTAATTTATTTCTTAGGATCTTGGTTCCCAAAGTTCTGACTGCTTTAGTAAGCCCAACCCTTTCCTCCAGCCAAATGAGGTTATGGAAAGCTCTATGGGTTTTATCTACCTTTCAGCAGCTGCCTTCCGTCCAAAACCACGTAAGAGTCAGCAAACACTTTTACAAGCATTGCAAAGCACACAATATTGACATTGCCTCAATAAATTTCTCTTCTCTTCGGGATCTTGGCCTCCAAGTCCTGGCAGCCTCAGAAACCCTCCAGTAGATTTTAAAAATAATTTGATTCAGCCTATCAAGTTGTTCTTCAGATGAATATTTTTCTTCATCATAGGCTCAACCTGGCTAGGCCATCTCACTAGGCGATGAACTCCCAGATAAGCAACATAGCACAACTTACTGGGAAGAATATGCCAGATAGACTTAGGTGCAAATCCTGGCTCAACCAGTTTCTAACCAATTTCTAGCTCTTGGGCAATTATTTTACATCTTTGATTCTTCATTTGTGTATCTGTAAAATGGGAATTATAATAGTACTTCCCTCATAGGGTGAGGATTAAATGAGGTAATTTGCTGAGAATAGTGTCTGGCAGACAGCCAGTGCCAAGTAAATGTTGTTTTCCTGTCTTTTCTCTGCCTGGGGCCATTCCTGTGGATAAAATATATTTGCCTCACCATGCAGTTTGAGAGAAAATAAAATATTTAAATAAATCTTTTACGGATAACTTAGAAGATTCTCTGCTACCATAGTGGCGTGGAGAAGTCCATGGTCTATAATTTCACTAATAATTACAAAAATGCCACAGTCTTTGCGGGGACATGGATGAAGCTGAAAACCATCATTCTCAGCAAACTAACACAGGAACAGAAAACCAAACAGTGCATGTTCTCATGCATAAGTGGGAGTTGAACAATGAGAACACATGGACACAGGGAGTGGAACAACACACACCGGGGCCCGTCGGGGTGGGGGCAAAGGGAGGGAGAGCATTAGAACAAATACCTAATGCACGTGGGGTTTAAAACCTAGATGATGGGTTGATAGCTGCAGCAAACCACCATGGCACATGTATAGCTATGTAAAAAACCTGCACATTCTGCACTTGTATCCCAGAACTTAAAAGCCTCAGTCAAATGGCAGCTGACTGGCAATATAATACTGTTTTGTCTAGGACACTTGCCAATCCCAATGCATGTACAAAAGGGAGGACAGGAATGCAATCTAGGAGACCAGCTTCTTCAGGGACTGCATCAGGGGACAACAAACCACACAACAGCCTGTAGAATCCTCACATGAGAAGGATACTTCTCACAACTGAATGGTCTTGTTAGTCTGGCCTGAATGTGAAAAAGCAAACTACTATCTACACCAGGCAAACTGTTATGTTTGCTAAGCTTTGTTTGGTGGATAAATTTTTTAACCTCTTGAGTTTACTATCACATTATATAATATAATGGGTCATTCATGCCCCAGACGACCCTTGTTGGACCACTGATAGAGAGCCACTAGTATAGAAACTGGTGACATCATGTCTGATTAGATCCTTCAAGAAACATGGGCAGGAAGGACTCCAGGTACCATCTGAGACAGTGGCTGTAAGTGATATAGCCCCTGAGGTGAAGGAAGATAGACTCCACAAGCCCTCATTCCCAAAGTAAATAACTTGCTTCCTTTTCTTTTGTTCTTTGGTTAAGGTAAAAAAAAATCTATCTATCTATCTATCTATCTATCTATCTATCTATCTATCTATCTATATAGATAGATAGATATATCTAGATATATATATATCTAGATATATCTATCTATCTATCTATCTATCTATCTAGATAGATAGATATATCTAGATATATATATATATCTAGATATATCTATCTATCTATCTATCTATCTATCTATCTATCTATCTATCTATCTATATAAGCTGCACTCTAGAGTGGGGAAGCCTTCAGTCTTAGTTTTAGAAGGTGCCACAAGTTTAGTATAGAGCAACTACCATCGCTGTTCATGTCAAATCCTCCTGAGGGGAAAGCTGCTGTTGACCCAGTATTGGTTTAACAGCATCTTTTTCCTATTCCACCAGACAGCCCTGTATTTGCTAGCTGGGTTCTTCTCTGTCCTCTACATGTAGGGAGAAGCACAGTTGATCTACGTATTAACTTGCTGAGACATAGGGAGGGTAATACAGAAGGGAGGGAAGCCGTGAAGCTTGAGTGTGAAGGATGAGTTTACTCTAGAGGCAGGTGGGTGGGGATAAGTTGGGAGTTAAGGAGAAAGGCTTTGGAGAAGCTGTGGGTTGGAACAGTGGTGTGCAGACAAACCAGCTTTCTGGAAACAAAAAAGAGCCCATTTGTAGCCTTTGCCCAGTTCCATGGTGTAAGAATTCCAACTACGGCTGATTGCAAACTACTAACGTGAAGCAAACTCGCTAGAAAAATTTAGTGCAACATTAGGTAGGAGGGAAATAAAGAGAAGAGAAAAAAGATTTAGTATTTTAATCATTTTAATATTCTTTGAGAAAGAGGACAGAACAATGCTGTTACTTTGGGCTCTTGAGGTACGTATTTGAAATGTAATGCTATTCGAACTGGTCCCCATAAGCTTCCTGGTTAATAAGGGTGACTCTCAGACCAAAAGAGAGAAACAGGACTTAAGTAGCTGAACACTTATTATGTGTGGGCTGTTTCACAAGCTTTATGCCATTTATGCCTCCCAAAACCCCTAGGAGGCAGGTGTGATTGGTATTATTTTACAGATGAGGAAATGCAGATTCAGAGATTCAAAGTGAGGCCATAGGGTTAGGAAGTGGGAGATTTAGGAGGTGGACCTGGTTTCTCTAGCTCCAAGGGCCAAGGTTTTATCAGCACACTGCGCTGCACAGACCCCTGGTTCCACAGACCCAAGGCAAAGGTGATTGAGTTGTCTTAAGTCTGTTGTTTGTTGCTTTTCCTCAAAAGACCACTGTTCTCATGTTCTTGTTTTCTCTAACTGCCTCTTCCTTTCCTGTAGTGGCTCCTTTTATTCCAAAATTCAATATATAATGCTGGTTCAAGTGCATTGCAAACTTTCATCTCAGTGTGAGGGTTTTAGAGGGTATAAACCTTGCACACAAGGGAAGCTACAAGTTTAGGCTCAGGCTATCCAGGGAGATTGCCAAAGCCAAAAATCCCAAACAAGTCCCTCAGGTGCTGTGACTCACAACCTTTTCGTTGGAAGGCTCTTCTAGTTCTTCCTTGGGGCCCTGGATCTCTGGGTCATGGTGGTTCTTATTAGCTTAGCTCAAGATTGCTTCCTTAGCCCAAATTTAGCTATTATTTGTAGCTGCCCTTTCAATCTCCAGCCAAGTAGATGCCTATCTGCCTTCCACCCCCAATCTCCACGGCCTTAGGTGTCACTCGTTAAGTGGGTGAGTCGATAATCCATGAATTTTGGGTAAAACACACACCTCTAGGCCCAGTTATTATTCCATCTTCTAGCTTCTTGTTCTCTGCATGGTTTCTCCCTAATTACCCTGCATTTCTCCACCTCTAGGATTTGTCTGTCCTGGACACAGATCACCTCCATGCTGGGAGAATATTATACCTTTGCCCGTTAAAGGCAATCACTGAGTTGTCCAGAGGAAGCCTGATAGACTTTAATGTAAAAATGTTAGAAGTACCTGGATGAGTACTTGGAAAGCTGGAGAGTACAGGTCTATTAAAGTATGGTCTTGGCGTCACAGGTTACTTTGATTCCATTTAACAGTGAATTTATTTTCAAATCTCATGTTCTTGATCTGGAATATGGAACTATTAATGGAACATATTTTAGAGGGTTGCTGTGAGGATCAAATGTGATAATGCATATCTAATTGTGCTAATGCTTAGCACAATTCCTGGGCCAATAAAGAGTAACCATTATATATTTTTTTAATTTTGCACTATACATATTTCACAAGATACCTTTGCCATATGAAATAGTAACAATTTGTTCTTTGATTGACTAGTTATACATTAACTTGGAAACATCAGATTTCTGCCTTGTAGGAGAATCTTGTCCCTCCTATAATCAAGAGGCTTAGACTCAGGTGGAAGGCAGTGGGAGTAGGGAACACCTTTTATCATGGACTTAGCATTCCCAAGTTGTCTACTTTTGTGAGAGAAAGAAAACGTGGGGTATGGGCAAAATAGAGATTCTTTTTAAATTAAGGCAGAGCTTAAATGTGATCCTAGGGTTTTATGGGGTACACTACATTCTCTCTGCAGGATTCTTTTACCCAAAATCTTCCAAATTTTATACAAGTACCCTACAGCCTGCACCTGAACATTTACTTTTCCTACTAAAGGTAATGTAAGAAGCAGTTTCCATGTAAAGTGGAAAACTCTTTGTTTATTTATTTATTTAGAGATGGAGTCTCACTCTGTCACCCAGGTTGGAGTGCAGTGGCACGATCTCAGCTCACTGCAACCTCTGCCTCCCAGGTTCAAGCAATTCTCTTGCCTCAGCCTCCTTGGTAGCTGGGATTACAGGCATGCGCCACCATGCCCGGCTAATTTTTGTGTTTTTAGTAGAGACGTGGTTTCACCATGTTGACCAAGCTGGTCTCGAACTCCTAACCTCAGGTGATCCGCCTCCCTCAGCCTCCCAAGTAAAACTGTTTATTACTTTTCTTGTTATTCAAACAACATTATAACAACTTTAAACACACAGAAGAGGTATATACTTCTCAAGTTTCCCATTCCTATGAAAAATTTTCTCCCCACTTTAAAAATATTTCCTTTCAGGTCTTGTCTATATACATTTATTTTTTCCACAATTATATCTATAGTATAAATACAATTTTGCAGTTTACTTTTTAAAACACTTATGCCTACTTGATGAGCATTTTCAAGTCTATTAAGCTTGTAAGTCTATTTCTGTTGCCTGAGGATCATTCATTTAAGAGAATTAACTATGGTTCAATCAATGTTTTTCTAATGGAAGGTATTCAGTCTGTTGCCAATCCTGCAGATGACACTACAACAAACATTTTTGAATATATATATTTGTGTATGCACACCTATCTATGCACATATGTTTCCTCCATGTAAATTATTTTCTTTTTATTTTTTTGAGACAGAGTCTTACTCTGTCTCCCAGGCTGGAGTGCAGTGGCACAATCTCTGCTCACTGCAAGCTCCGCCTCCCGGGTTTATGCCATTCTCCTGCCTCTGCCTGCCTAGTAGCTAGGACTACTGGGCCCACCATCATGCCCGGCTAATTTTTTTGTATTTTTAGTAGAGACGGGGTTTCACTGTGTGAGCCAGGATGGGCTCGATCTCCTGACCTCGTGATCCACCCGCCTCGGCCTCCCAAAGTGCTGGGATTACAGGTGTGAGCCACCATGCCCGGCTGTAAATTATTTCTTTACAAAAGATTATTGTAATTTGTATTATTAAGGGGAACATTTGTATAGAGGCCAATATTTTTGAGCATTCACTTGTAAGGATTAATGAAATTGCAAAGGTCCTTACGATCTTGAGATAAAAAGAACTCTAGTGATACTGTAAACCTAGTATATTACTCCATGAAATAAAGCTATGTTCAGCTTCTGGGAAAATTCATCAGAAACAAATAGCATTTCTTTTCAGATCATGTATCTTTTATGCCTACAGATGCTATTTGTTTATATAATTATCTTAGTTGAAATTGGAAGAGCCCTTTAACCCAGAGTGTAACTATTCCTGGCAGTCAGATGTGTTGACATTGCTGTCTTGGACTTGCACCTCACATGGCCCCATTCGTTTCTGGTCAGCTGTGCCCCTGCCTGTGTGTTCTGGTGGCACCTTGCCTGCTTAGGAAACATGATGTCAGCTTGCTAGGTTCAAGCCTGAAGCAAAGTAGGTTCTGGGAAGCCTGACTGAAAACAGAGCTGCTTTGGAATTGCCTTGTGAATCTCTGGAACTATTTACACCTTCACTTCTGTGATAAAAAGGGATGCCGCTGTGTTGAAGGGAAAGGGTTAGAGGTTTTGCCAGGGGCCTTGTGGCTTGGAGACAGATGCCTTATTAAAACATACATGCAGGGCTGAGCACAGTGGCTCACGCCTGTAATCCCAGCACTTTGGGAGGCCGAGGCAGGCAGATCACCTAAGGTCAGAAGTTTGAGATCAGCCTGGCCAACCTGGTGAAACCCCGTCTCTACTAACAATACAAAAATTAGCCAGGCATGATGATGGGCACCTGTAATCCAAGCTACTAGGGAGGCTGAGGCAGGAGAAACACTTGAAGCCAGGAGGCGGAGATTGCAGTGGGACGAGATCATACCATTGTACTCCAACCTGGGTGACAAGACTGAAACTCTGTCTCAAAAAAAAAACAAAGAACAAAAACAACAACAACAAAAAAACCACACACACATGCACACCCATTCTGCTTCAGCTGCCTTTAAAAAAAGAAGCATATATAGTTGTTATATTATTAGAAAATGAAAGGATTAGCAGCCTCATTGGGGAACACAATGGTTTCACTCCAAGTTGGCTTTACTGTAGGCACTGGAGATGCAAATGAATACTGTGAGATAAAGAGTTGGAGATATTTGAGTTATATCAGAATTGCAAAGATTAAAAACTGTTAGTGGCTATGAAGAACTTGTCTGTCCTTCAGAAGCCCTGAGTTTCTTCAGCTAAGTATTCAGAAAAAGAAGCGGTCTTTAATGTTAGCTTGAAATTGTTGAATTTCCTCCCATTATGGTACTTACAGTATACTTGGCATATACAGAGTTGGTGCTTCTTTGAAACATGTACAAGTCTTGCAGATTCCTGTCCACTCATCAACTTACTATTCTTCCCAGCTTTCTGCATCCCAGGAACCTGCAGGGTTTTAGGTGAACACGGGAGCACACCTGACAGTGATATGGTACCACATCAACAGTGTTTCTCATCACATAGCCTGCCGCTGATTTCCTTCCCATCATAGTGAGTAATAGATGACTCAGTCGGGATGTCAGAAAGGTGCTGGGCATTTGCTTACTTATAAAAGGCATGTTGAAATGTTATATTTTTAGATGCTTAACATATTTGTGCAAATACCAGAAAATACAAACTTAGAGCTACAATCCGACTGTCAGGCTAATTCCATGATTAGGTAGTTTAAGGGATGCCATGAGAAGAATAATTAAAACAATTTTTAAAAAAAGCCTGAAGCTATATTCAAGGAAAAGAAAAGGCTTTGCTCATGATCCTCCATGGTTCTGTTAGTTTTTCTGACATGGTCAACTGATCTCTACACCCAACAAGCCAAACACAGGCACCACATGCCCATGATCACACAGAATGTGCCCAGCACTGCACCAGGTGTGAGGACAGAACTGAGTGGGACCCAGTCCACAGCATCTGGTCTGCCTCCAATGGTGCCTTCTTACAATGTTCTGCAAAGTGTATTATTTCCCAAGAATTATAGGGTCAGTTCACTTGAAGAGTCTGGGCATGAAAAGAAAGAAGGGACATGGTTGCTATGTTACTTTACCAAACTTCTTTCCAGTCACCACAAAACTCGGATGAATGCCATTGTCTATTTCTTTATCCAGTTGAAATTGGGCTTTATGCATGTCATAGCTTCCAGATGAATCAAATCTTCAAAGGAACATGCCATTCCACAGAAGTATGCATGGCCTATCATGGAGTTCTTAGTGCCATTTTTCTTATCCTGTTTCCCATTTTCCATTTTGGACCAGAACAAAAGCTCTAATAAATATGCAACACTCAGTGGCATCAGAGATACATTTTAGTATTACAAAATTAGTAGGGCCTTGTCACACATTTTTTTATAGGGCCCTTCACATGAAGTGTTATGCTTCAAAATTAAATGAATCTCTTATATTCTGCAAGGCAGGGAGCAAGCACAGAGGGTAAGAACTCTGGGACAGTGACAGAGGCACTGGTCTATCTCCAGCTGATTCTGTGTTTCTACAGTGAATGACCTTAGAATGGGATGGGTCCTAGACTGAGTCAGTATACCTATCCATAAAATGAGATAAATGTATTTTCTACTCACCTAGGTACACTGTTGTTATGAAGGTAAATTTGATTTTATTAATGCTTTTACTACTTGGTAAAGAACTGCTTTATATACCATGGACTTCATGTTTTAGCATTCCCCCTTTCTAAGATTCTGTTTTGAAAATGATAAGGCAAATACCAAGCACTAGAAACCTCTAATATATGATGTTACACGAAGCACTGCCATTTGTTTTCTTTTTCTAGGCCAAATAAAACTAGAAAGCAAACCACAACAGTTCACTCATGCTGCAAACTTTTGGATTGCAGCCTAGATTAAAAACAATAACAACAAACAAAAAGTGTACAGTTTCCCCAGCTACAGAAATTTGTTTTATGGACTCCAATAAATTCTTGGCAAATAAATAGAAACAATCTGCAGCCTTTGTTTGGCAGAAGCCAAAGGTTATCCATTTACAGGGATGTTAAGACAGTTTTCCTCAAAAGAGATGGGTGCTGAGGTTTGAAAGGATTCTGGCTGGCAGTAGGAAAAAGCGTTTAAGCCCACTGATGCTGGTGGCTCAGTGGGGTTTCTCTTTCAGTGTCTGTTAATCCCTCTGTTTTCATAAGCAAGGGGGAACCAATGGCAATGGCTCCAGTTGCACTCCAGAGGTACAGGCTGTCAGGCATGCACGTCTGCAGCTGAAAGCACAGGGTTGGTGAGAAGCAATCTTTGGTGACACTGAAGATTTCTCTTTATTTCCAGGCATTACCAGAGAGGTTTATGAACCAGGCTGTTGAAGTGCTTCAGTCAGTTGCTCTTCATGGATGTTTTCTTTTTTTCTTTTCCATTAAAAAAGAGGAGAAAAGAAATACATTCACTTTTTAAAATCCAAAGATAAATGCTGATGGAAACTTTATTTTTTTGTATTTTCTTTCTTCTTTTTTAATTGAAGGGCTTTCCATGGTTGACTTGGTATAAATTTACAGCCCAGGCTACCAGCCCCGAAGTAAATCTACATACATATTTTATTGGAAGTCACCTTTAAAATTGCTGAAATGGTGCTGTTTACCCTGCCAAGGAATGCTGCAAAGGGAAAGAGAGGAAGAGTACTGAGGTGAGATGATGTGATTTATTTGGCCAATCAAAGGGGAAAACGGCCTAGGCCATGTGGCTTCCGGGATGCAATCAACAGCCCACCAGGAGCAGGCCCCCACACTCCCATCTCAAGCAGGACTCATGAAACAAGGGTTGCAGGTCAAAGGCTTATGGCCAGCACTCAGAGGGCTGGAGGACTTGCTGCCAGGGCCACAGTTTCCCCAACTCTATACGGAAAACAATGTTTCTGCTCCAGTGCTAACAAATGAGCAAGAACTGTGCACTGACAGTCTAAGTTTTGTTTCGTTTTGCATCTAAGAAGATGGAAAGTTGGTAGAAGGACTACTTCAAGAAAACAAAAGAGCAAGACGAATGCCACATACTTAATAGTCTCTTCATCATAGTTGAACACTTTGCACAAATTTTCTTCCGTAGATTTTCAGGGTTTCCAAGGAGCTTAATCACCCAGATCAGTTTCATAAACATAAATGTGTACATACATATGTTTTCTAAACAGTTCAGCATATGAAATAGACTCATTTCTTGTCTGTGTTCATCGTTGTTCATGCCTACAAAGGCTTTTAAATGAATAGTTTTGTAACTAAGCCAAATATACCTACCCAGCTTCTTTAAGGCCTTTCTGTAAAATTAGAAGTTAGAATTTGAGTGATAACATGGAACTGAAGAGTAAAACTTAAAAAACCTGGGAAATAGTATTTTCCTTCTCCATATAGAGCATCTCCAGTGCTTTGAGATCAGGTAGACCTCTGTTGGTCAAGTCACTTAACCACTCTGAGCCTCAGTTTCCCCATATTTAAGGTGGAAAGTACAGCATACCTACACAGGGTCATTTTGAAGATAAGATAGGATGCATAATGCAGATGTTGAGCCCAGTGAACATTCTGAGTTCACAACTTTTTGTGATATCTTGGAGCAAAACACTAAATTTTTTTTTCTGTTTTTCACATGTCCAAATTATGAGTTATTTTCTCCCTGTTCACACCCTGGATTATAATAAAGGTAAGGGGAAGGGTGAACTCTTGAAGTCATGAATGGGTATGTAGGGATGAAGGTCAAGTTTCCCCTCTGCCCGCTAAATGTTCATTGAAATGAACTGAAAGTAGACAGATCAATGGGAAGAAAATGCATAGAAAATTTATTGTTCATAAGCACGGGAGCTGTATAAAATATGAGACTCAAAGGCCTGGTGGTTGAAGCTTATATACCCTCTTCCTAGGGGGGGTAGTAAATGGTTTTCAGGAGAAATGAGTGAGCCTAAAGAATAATCATCTGGGACAAAGCTCTGAGCTCTGGGGAAGATGGTGGGAAGGTCAGGGCTGGAACTTGACTGTGAACAAAGATTGTTTTATTATGCAGATAAAATCTCCCAGGTAGTCTCTCAGAACTGCCCACAAAAGAAGAGATGAAAAGTCTATCTGAGTGTGATGAAGACTGTAAGTTTCTTCCTTTGTCTGGTGGTCAATCTTTCCTGGTTATTTAATGAGATTGTTAGGGAGGGAGTTTTAAGACAATTGCATTTCTCCTGGGAAAACTTTGCTTAATCAGATAAGGAAACTTCAGAAAAAGCTCCTTCTGGTTGCTTGCAGAAAGAAAGGGGATCGGAGAGACAGGGAGGCAGGGAAAGATCAGAAAGAGACCTTGGTTCTAAGGCTTATTTCTGAGGTCTTTAAATTCAAAACACTCAACATGCCAAAGCACCATACTCTGGGGTCTCTTTCTCTCTACCTCAACAGGTAGTTGTTAATGTTGCTTACCAGATATCTCTAGCTCTCTGTTTTCAGAGCACAGGAAAGAATTGTATTTTTTAGACCCTAGTGGTTGGATGGGACCACATGACATTTAATTGCTGGTACAAGAACCCAAAAGCATCAATGCTCTAACTCAGCATGTTGAGTAGAACTTTCTGTAATGGTGGAAATATTCCCCATCTATATTTTCCAGTAGAGTACCCATTGGCTACATGTGGCATTGAGCGCTTGCAATATGGCTAGGATAACTGAAAAATTAAATTTTTAATTTTATTGAATTTTAATTAAAATGTAAATGGCTACATGTGGCTAGGGACCACCATATTGGACAATGCAGATCTAGATGGCGGCTGTTCCAGATGGTGGCTGTTCCATTAGCCTGAATCCAGGAGTGAGGACAATGATGAGGTAAGGGAGAGCCTCAACCAACTTGCAAGGGACATGTTCCATGCATGAGAAACAAGCCTGTGTTGCTCTAATTTATTAAGGTTTTGGGGTTATTTGTGACCACAGCATGGCCTAGCCTAGGCTTTCTGATATACTATCTGAAGGAAGATATCACATTGACAGGAGTCTTCTATCAACCAATAATAAATGATTCCTCTTCTACGTGGCACTGTGTCTAGTCCTGGAGGTCCTGAAAGAAATCGTCCATGTCCCCAGCCCTCATATGGTTGATCATTTCCTTGGTAATTTCTGATATGGTTATGCTCTGTCAGAAGAGGAATAGGTCCTCTCCTCTTTCCCAGTTGGATGCAAGGGAAAGCCTCAGAATGCCATCTTGTGGCCAGGCGTGGTGGCTCATGCCAGTAATCCCAGCATTTTGGGAGGCCGAGGCAGGCGGATCACTTGAGGTCAGGAGTTCAAGACCAGCCTGGCCAACGTGGTGAAGCCCCGTCTCTACTAAAAATACAAAAAAAATTAGTTGGGCATGGTGGCACATGCCTGTAATCCCAACTACTCAGGAGGCTGAGGCAGGGGAACAAAAAACAAAACAAAACAAAAATGCTATCTTGCCCCAGAGCTTGTAAGCCCCAAACTCTACTCATAGTATTCCAGGTCAGCTCTCAGGAAAGCAGAATGTGCACTTGGCTCTCTGAGAGGACTTGTCCCCCACATTCCCATCACTGAGACTGGGAAAAGAGAAGCAACTCTAGGTTTGAAGGAGTAGGGGATGGGGTGCAGGCCTCAGATAGACTCTCTGGAGCCACAGGGCAACTGTACAGGGCACAGAGAAAGCTACATCCTAGTAAAATTAGGCACTGCTGATCATCAAGCGACCTCTCTGGATAGACAAATATGTTTTGATTTTTCCAGCACATGTACATTGAAAGCATTCATTTTGACATAGTTCTCTGTTCTTTCAAATCAATTTTTGTAATCAAATTTTCTTTCTTTGTAAATAGTACTGTCATTCACCCAAATTAGAAATCTGGGAGTCATTCTAGACTCATCGTTTCTGCATCTCCCACATTCTATTCAGTTCTGTCAGGTGAACCTTATTCCTCTTCACCCCCACACCATCTGCCAAGGTCATGACATGCTGCATGTGCTAAGCAGTTTGTACTCACACAAAGGAGCCTGGCTGAGGCAGGTAAGGGTCATCTTCAAGCCAATGGGACTTCTCAGTCCAAGGTGAGGAGGGAGGTGCCTTTTTCTAAATCCCATAAAGGTGCCAGGTAGGCCAACTGTAGCTCTCTCAATTGACTTAGTATACGCTCAACGTCTTTCACTCTAACGAAACAGTCTCCTAATCAGCCACCTGGCTGTCTTTTCCTCTACTGTTCAAGTTACAACCAGAGTGATAATTCATAAACACAAATCTGATATTAGCACTCTCCACTCTCTTGCTTAAAATCCCAAATTGCTTCCCACTCCCGTCAGAAAGTACAAACTTGTTTAAGTGTGGCCTCCAGGGCTTGGTTACCTGTCCAGCTCTTCCCTCTTCCTCACAACACTGAACATGATCTGAATGCCTTGTAGAACCCTGAACGGGACCTGTGGTTTTGGGTCTAGATATTTGTCCCTCTGTACCTTCTTCCTGGAATGCCCTTACCTCTACCCCGTTCTTGGGCTGGCTGCCTTGAAACTTTTCTTTTGAGAGTTAACCAAAGCATTGTACCTTTGAGGAAACTTTTCCTGACCACCACCAAGGAGAATTTATTCTTTCTCTTTCACATCCTCACTGAACCTACTATCACGGCACCTGTGCATTTTTAATTCTCATGTTTGTCTTCCTGTCCGAATCTCCTGGCTGTCCTGTGACCTCCTTGAGGACAGTCTGTCATGCCTTATTTCACTTCGTGTCCCTTGCACGCACCTAGCACAGTGCCTGGCTGATAGCAGGCTCTTCTTAAATATCCATTAAATAAACGAACAAAAGTCGATTCCATTTTATTTTTAGGGATCAAGTGCATAGTTTTCCAGTGAAAGTTAACAGAAATCAAAGTTATTTTAAATTTAAGCTTCCTTCTCACCTTTTCATTTAAACACAGCGGTTTAAACTACGCAATTGCCTTTCTGAACATGGTCACTTTCACAGTCTTACCAGAATTGAGAAGGGTTGAGATAGGTTAGGGATGAAGAAAACATAACTGAGTATATTGGTGTTATTCCATCACTCCTCTCACTTGATCTTCCCAAAATGCAAATGGAAAAAATAACAGCACCGTGGTTAGGTTAAAGAGATAAGGCAGCTGTGACCCACACACGGGGTGAAAAAAAACAAGATAAGGACATTAACCTAGAATTCTTAAGGTACACTGAATTCTAAATGGCTATTGTAGTCAAAAAAGAAAGGGAAACTTTAAGATGAGAAAATAAAATCCATATTAGGACACAGTATAATTTTGCCAAAGAAATTATGGCCTTTAGATTTACAGTTGCAAAGGAGTTGCCTTCCACATTAAAGAGAAAATGTATGTCTAAAGCTCTCAATTGGTTGCTGTAGAAAATAAATTTAAATTTCTGTATGCAATCATTTTCTTCCCAAAACCCACACTATTCTGGGGAGGCTGAACTCCATAGGCTTTAGAACCACACTACTTATATTCAAATCCTAGATCTGACATTTCCTAGGTGACTTTAAGCAAGTTATAGGACCTCTCTGAACCCTAGATTCCTCATCTGTAAAGTGGAGATAATAATGGCACCTACCCCATAAGGTTTTAGTACAGGTTAAATACGTATGCGCTTAGAACAGCGAGTGTGTCAGTAAATGTTAATATACATTATTGTTATTAATTGAAGACTGTAATAATTTATATATGCCAAGGAACACAACCTCGATGATCTCTGAGACAAATGATTCTGAATGAAATCCAAGTTTTTGTTGGAATGCTTTGTTTTATGTAATCAAATATATACATAGATAAATGAGCAAAAATGATCACATCTGCATGTTAACTTCTTTTTGAGGACCTATAGTTCCTCTAGCCTGGGAATGGGAGGACTAGCCAGTAGCTATCTGAACCAAGATCACCATCCTTTCATAGTAGATCTTGTTGGCTTCTCTAGCCAGATGGTTTGCTGCACAACAGTGGCTTTTGAATGAGTGCCCTGCATATTTTGCTATGGGCTGTCAGGATGCATCTTAAGTTCAACCCGTAGGTCATAAAATCACCTTAACAGGAAATTGTAATTAGTGAAAATGCCTTCAAACAGGAATATTTTAAACAATGTTTGAAGTTTTAAGTGAGATCAGATATACATAACAAAATTAGAGAAAACAAATTTTGACAAAATAAATTCATAAACCTATTGATTATTTACTTGACTCAATTTTACATTGGTTGATTGTTTTTATATTGCCATAATGTGCTTTATTATCTTATGATTGCTCTGAATGAAGTGTCTACTTCAATATTGAAATATTCTGTCTGGCCAGTAACATAAGACATAAAAAAATCAGATTTTGAGGACTTAAACCTCAGACTCAATTATTCATATAGATTCAAGGGTGTCTCTCATATTCTATCTTGCAGAATTTCAAAAATGAAAAATGAAGATTTTTGTCTTGGTTTATACAGTAAATCAATTTTTTTGTTATTTATCAGAGTGACAAAGTGTTTTCATTGCTTTAACTCTGTCATTTATATGAGTAATTGTCTAAGTCTTCATATTATGTGACCAAAAATGACATGTTGCCTGTGTTTATTTCTGACTGACTTTCATGATCTCTTTCCATTTACAATGACTTGGAAGTTAGTTTTAAAAATTGTTAAAGAATTTAATACTTATCTACCTCATCATATAATTATAGAAACACAATAAACTACATCTGGCTAATCATCTGATTAAATAAGGGAAAAATAATCTATCTCAACATCTTCATCTGAAAGAGATGAAAACTCCAGTCCAAGGAAGAGATTTTCCTGGCTAAGGAAATAATTTTTAGACTTTCAGATATCTGAAGTCTTTGGTAAAGGATTTTTAGTGTCGAGACACAGTCTCGCTCTTGTCACCCAGGCTGGAGTGCAATGGCGTGATCTCGGCTCACTGCAACCTCCGCCTCCCCGGTTCAAGCAATTCTCCTGCCTCAGCCTCCTGAGTAGCTGGGATTACAGGTGCCCGCCACCACACCTGGCTAATTTTTCTACTTTTAGTAGAGACGGAGTTTCGCCATGTTGGCCATGCTGGTCTTGAACTCCTGACCTCAGGTAATCTGCCCTCCTTGGCCTCGCAAAATGCTGAGATTACAGGAGTGAGCCACCGCGCATGTCCGAACAATTCTTAATATAAATATTTCAGTCAGAATTATGCCAACATTGAATTATTTGGTTCAACAAAGTATTTTCTGGAGTGAAAACCTCTAGGCCAGTTTAATTTCCTGATTAATTTTCTATAGAGTGCATTTAATGGTTTTTAATATTTTTCCCTTACCATTTTTATTTTACTAAAATTATTTTCACCAGGATCAATTCTTTTCGTTTAAATTTTATATCAGTATTCATTTTTGTCATTGATATCTTAAAAAATGATTATAGCTTTGGTCATCATGAGTTTTTCTCTTATGGCCATTATTTCTGCAAAGTACAGTTTTTTTGAGTCAGTTTTTTCCTAACTAAATTTTCTCAAGAATATTTTATATTTTCACTAATTTTTAGTTAATAAGTTTTATTGGGTACAGTTTTAATGCCTGTAAAGTTTTGATTTTAACAGCAATATTAATCATTCTTACCTGGAATAATTAATAATGAATTTTATAAATTATAATTTCCACTTATGAGAAAAATTATATGGAATTTTATAAGAGAGAGGGAGATTGAGAAATACACAGGGGGTCAAGGAGAAAGACACCGAGGAGAGGAGTGGAGTGAATGACACTGAAACCCAGCAATACAGGTGGGGTCAGAAGCAGAGGGTCTTCTGGTGTATTTGATGGGCATCTTCTTCAGTTCACTGCAGTTCACTCTTGGGGTCAATTTACTCATATGTAAAAAATTAGAGTGGGTTTACCTATGCTATTTTGGGAAAATAATGGCAGAGCTCTTTTTTTGTTAAGTTCTGGGATACATGTGCAGAACATACAGGTTTGTTACATGGGTATATATGTGCCATGGTGGGTTCCTGCACCCATCAACCCGTCATCTAGGTTTTAAGCCCTGCATACATTAGGTATTTGTCCTAATGTTCTCCCTCCCCTTCCCCCCCACCCCCCAACACGCCCTGGTGTATGATGTTGCCCTCTCTGTGTCCATGTGTTCTCACTGTTCAACTCCCACTTATGAGTGAGAACATGCAGTGTTTGGTTTTCTGTTCCTGTGTTAGTTTGCTGAGAATGATGGTTTCCAGCTCCATCCATGTCCCTACAAAGGACATGACTTCATTCTTTTTTATGGCTGCATAGTATTGCAAGAGCTCGTATTTTTAATCAGCTGCACCATGAGTGTGTCCTACAACTTCTCAACTATCTCATCTCTGACATTCATAAGAACTGGAATCATAAGCCTGGCTCCCCGGACTTGACTGTGCTAAAGGAGTTGAGTTAATTTTCTAGAAGTTCATGAAATTATCTACACAGAGTTTGTAATAGGAAGAAGCATTTTGCTTCTGAATTATATTTCTGCCCTGCCTGTATTGGCTTTATACCACAGAGTCCATGGCCAAGTCGCCTAACTGCTTGAACCTATTTCTTCTTCTGTATCTGGAGATAATATTCTTATTTTGCCTGCTTCTTAGAGTTATTAAGAGGGTAAAATGTCATAATAAATATGGAATTATTTTTAAATCTGTGAACTGCTAGATAAAAATAAGATATTATCACGTATGGAGGTTGAGTTTCGAAACACAAATACACCTGTCATGGAAGGTTAATTTGATTTTCAAACTCTTCCTCTGGATGTTTCATTGAGCTCTTCACTGAAAAATGACCAGAATTTTATATCTCCATGTTACAGCACAATTAAACCATCTTCCATGCAAGCTCTGAAGAGCAATAGAGATTTTTTAATACCATTCTATACCAGACCTCTGGTCCAAGCAAAAGACGATTTCACGCTAATGATAGCAGGGAGCAATATAACCAGTTTTCCAGCTTTACAAGAATATTGTCAATAGATTTTGTTTCAAACTCCAAAGGGTAGGTGTTTGATGTGGCAAAGGAAAGAGAGATACCCTAATGAAAACAGAGGGAGGTAGGAAGTCTTTGGAGACTTCCACTGCAAGGGTCTTTGAACCACATTTGGCATTCAAAGTGAGAAAACAAACTGAGCTTTGAAAAGAACAAGACAAATACAATATTGAATCCGACTTGGAAAAAAACCAAATAGGTCAGTGACAGAACATCACCCCCCACAAAATCTCGGATTCATGCCTGGAAAATGAATAAGTGAATAGGTAGGTAACTCCTCATTTTCCAGGGCTGTCAGTCAACGGTTCCTATCAGTTCCACCTCTGAAATGTATTTTATATCGTTTGCTGCTATTTACCACTGACTCCACCTCCATCCCATGTCATCTCTCATCTAGGGGGAAGTTGGGTGCAGAGGAGAGAACACTAGCTTTAGAGACAGACAAACTTAGATTTGAATTCCAACTTTGCCACTCAACCAGCTGTGAGACCCTGAGCATTTCTATCAAATCTGTCTGAGCATGGGATTCCTCATCTGTAAAATGGTAATAATATCATCTTTACAAGTTATGAGGATTAAATGAGACAATGCTTAGCAAAATAATGCTTAGTATAGTATGTGGCATAGGGCAGGCAGCCCCTCGTAGCATAGGTCCTTCCACTCCTGTCTTTCCATTTCATCGTTTCCCATCAATTCTTGCTTTCCATAATGCATGTCTGATTAGGTCATTTCCCTCTCTGCTTGCTGTGGTTTTCCATCGCTTAGCAAATAAATTCTAAATTCCAGAATGTAATCATATCAGTGCTGTAAAAAAAAAATACCTAAAATACAGTTGCTTAAATAGGACAGATGTTTATCTCTCACATAACACTCAGAGGCGAGTCGTCCAGGGCTCGTAGGGCAACTCTGCTATCTCCAGGTTTTAAGCGGCTGCTTCTGTTGGTTCCATCTCCCACCTAGTGGGAAGGGACAGGGCTGGAGGAACTCATATCAGGCTCTTTAGGGGGCACATTCTGAAAGTGGCACTTATCACTTACAATCTTTTTGGTTGAACCTTAGTCACGAGGCCACATCAAGCTGCCAGGAAGGCCAACGAGAAATACTTCAGCTAAGCGGCCACACACTCAGCTAAAACACAGGAGTTACTTCATTAAAGAAAAGGATCCTGGATATTTACAAACAACTAATAGCCTTTGCCATTAGCTGAGACATAAAGTGACATAATAGAGCATTTTTCTAACTTTATTTCACTTTTCTTCCCTTCTACGTACCTCATGGCCTATGAACACTGGACTACTCACTATTCAAATATACAACCTGCTTGCTCACTCCAGTTCCTTTGCACACGTGTGCTTCCCCCCTACCCACCTAGTTGGTTCCTCCTCATTGCTAAAGGATCGACTAGAATAGCTCTTCCTTTGTGGAACCTTTCTTGATGCCCTCCCTCCACTGGAAAATTTAGCCACTGCACTTGTCTTCTCTTGAAATTTTGATATAACTTGGAGAACTTTGTTTATGGATGCATCTTCTCTCTAGGTTGGAAGCTCCTCAAGAGTAGAGGTTATATTTTATTCTTATTTTGAATCCCTAGAAATTAGTATTTGCTTGGTTTATATTTATCTAGGTATGATGAATGGATGGAGTTTAAATAAAAGTAGAAAAATCAAGCCAGTGATTCCACTTTAACTGCTACGAAAGTGATGGCTGACTACTTGTAAACTGAGAGAGTGCCTGGAAGCAGAAGAAACAAGGAGACTTTATTGGAGTAATTAATCGGCTTGTTTAGGACACCAGCTATCTTTTTCTCACAGATCCTTAAACAACCAAGTACTTATTCTGTTCTTTTTAAGATGGGGAAACTGAGGCCCAGAAAGGCAAGAAACTTATCCATGGTCATTCAGGTCCTAAAAGCAGAGTTAGACTCTTGCTGAGGTCTCCAAACTTTCTTTGTAGAGCTACTTCCATTATATCCCAGTGCTCTAAAAAGAATTTTATGTGCCATTGCAAATATTGAAGTACTTAACTGGCTGACTGAGGTTGGATTTATTTTACAGCATTTTGAAAAATCTCTGGTAAGTTAGTAAGACTCTAAAACTCGGCCACAGTCTGACACATTACTGGCTGAAAGAGTAAAAGGGAACAGACGGACAGTGTTGTGTGCAGCAAAACAGTAACTGTCCTAGTCCAAAAATTGTAATAGTTTGTGGCCTAGTAAAGAATGCAATATGTCACTTTTTCTTTTTACTCATGACAATTTTCATGTATATATTTTGAGACTAATTTCTGAGAATATACATATTAAGCGATATGCTTATAAAATGTGGAGTATCAGTATTGGAGATAGCATGAACCTCTCAATCTGTGAATTGAGATTTTACTTTAATTCCATAAAGTTAGCAAGTTGAATCACTGAGGTCTCCTTGACCAATAGCAGATACATCATCATGGCTTTCTGGAATTTAGTGTTTAACTCAGATGTCCATAACGATCACATTGTCTTGCTGAGCTTTAAATAACTTTGCCTTGAGCCCACATCTGACTTTCTGAGGGCAGCCCAATGGCTTCCCCAATAGTCCTGTGAATTCCTGTGGCTCATGTTCTCTTGGTCCCTCACAGCTCCCAGGGTCCACTGCCTCTGGAATCTCAATTGTGCTAGGGGCTCTCCTCCCACACTGCCGACTTCCCGTGCTTCATGCTAAGCCACAAGTGGCACTCAGCTTTTTTTCCTTCCCTCAGACCATCCATATAAGACATTTATATGTATGTCAAACTTGACTGAAGTTTGAGTCTATGGAGAAAGCATTACATTATGGAACACAAAACCACTTGACATCAGATATCCCTCATTCTTCACAACCCTCTGTCCCAGCTACCTCACAGGGGGCTCCTGTTCTCTTCAAGCTCCGGCTGCACCTCATGTTGCTCAGTCCTCCTACGCTTAGGTTTCCTACCTCTTTCCTCCTGTTTTCTGACTCTTGACAACCTCTGAAAACTCAGTTTCTTTCATATTTTTGTGCTGCTAGGTTTTGCAGCCATTCTCTGTGGCCCTGGTTCTCCCTTGGATACCCAGAGCCTCATTAATGTTCTTAGAGAAAGAAAGGGCCCCCTCATTTTACCAGCAAGAACAACTGACAGAGGCTTAAACAGTTGAATGTCTTCTTTATCCCTCCCTTATCGATCTCTGTTATAATTTTGGAATTTAGCTTTCTACTGATATAAATATGCTACCTACCTCCTTCCTCAACAGAAGTAGCTAAAATTAGGTGCAGTTTTAAGCAAAAAAAAATTCTGCCAGATTGTTATATATGATTTAAGAAAAAAATCAAGAAGATAAGGTGTGTAAACAATTATTGGAACTGAATGACTAATGGTAGTAAATCCCAAACTTATTCAGGACAAGAAAGTTTTAGAGAGCAAAGTGTATGTGTATATAGAATTTAATTCATATATCAGCACTGAACTCTTCAATAGGAAAATGGCACTAGAAAGAAAATGGTAGTATAAGAAGGGTGGGCGTATGAAAACATTCTCAAGACTGTTCTTTTGCAGTTTAGCCCGTGAAAAGGGTTTTAAGTTTCTAAGAACTGAAGTGTTCAAAAGTAGAATGACCATCTACTATAATTCTGAAATTATTTGTTTTGTGTGAGTCTTCTCCTTTCCACTCCTTCCTCCTGTCACCAGATCCATCCTTCTTCACTTTGCTTTAGGCCCAGGAGGTTAAGCACTTGTGGGTCACATTATCTGGGCTCTCATCCCCTGGCTTCCAGTTGGATTCAGCCAATGGAAGGTCTAGCAGGAATCTGGAGGACAGGAGAAGTCAAGATACACCTTTTCTGTTCCTTCCCTACCCTGGGTAGTGTTTTCTGCAGATAACTGTATTATCGCATGATTATATTGTTTATCTGGTCGTTTCAACTCTCCTGGCTAGCCTGCTTCCTCCTCGAGTCCCTCAGGCCTGGGTGGTAACAGCTTCTGGCCCATGTTTACCATGGGTGTCCTGCCATCCTTCTTATTCCTTGAACTCTGCCCATACCTCTTAAGTAGCCCCTTCACTAAAATTTCTCAAACTATCTTGGTTGGAATCTGTTTCTTAAAGCTATTAGTAGATATTCTGAATAAATGTTTGTGGTGGTAGATATTTTCTGATGCAGTAAGATCATGATTTCCAAATGCTGTCTGTGGGCTGGTTGGAGATAACCCTGACAAAGGTTTCACTGGTCCAGTATGAAATGAAACTTTAAAAAGAAGGGCAATATAGATTTTCATTAAGTTGAATTGGTACTGTATTTTTTTTTATTATACATCTCCTTCCCACTTTTTTGAGGTGAAAATGATCCTTCTTTTATGATATAAATGTATACTTAAAAAATGTTCTTGCTTGGCAAAGTAAAAAGCTACCAGTGAGTGCTGTGAATTTATTTGAAAATGTACTAGTCCGTAAAATCTGAACGTTGAGGGACCACTGGACTCTATGCTTATGAATCAATTCCCCCAGAAAGACATTTGCAGAGACTGCCAATTCTGCAGTATTTTATGAACAGAACTACCTGGGGAGATTCATGTAAGAACACTCTGCCCTAGATGTCACAGTTCGAGTGCTTTCTGCTATGTGAGGCAGCTGTAGTGTAGATTTAAGATTTCTGCCGCAGAGTCCTGTGAGGTAGTTCCTGTATCTGAGTTTCTCACAAGCCTGTGGTAGGGACGTGGGGTGGAATTACTCTTATTGTTTTTCCAGGAGAGTGAGTCTCCAATACCTTAGGAGGTAGACTGCTCTAGGTTGTCCCCGCTGAGATCCTGTAGCTACCCACTCACTTGAGGTAATTTCTTTATATGATCAGAGTTGACAAGAATTGTTATCCTCAATTAAAGGATTCTAATTAATTATTTAAATAAGCCTTAACTTTGATTCATCAGTTTGATTATCTGTACTATCTCAAACTTTAACGTAGCTGTTTTTTTCTTCCCATTTGATTGCATTTTTAGGTCAGCTGGCATTTCATATACTGACATGTCAAAATTTTATGTGTGTCCTCAAGAGCAGACTGTTTTTTAGAACTGCCACTGCCATTAACTATCTGGGTGACCTTGCCTAAGTCCCTTAACCCCTCAGATACTCAGTTTCCTATCGTAGAAGGTGATAGGATTGGTCAGGAAGATCTCTACATTTCTTTCCAATTCTAAAAGTCCACGATCTAAGCCTCAATTATTTCCCAGCACTGAGTTCACTCAGGAGTTCAAAACCAGTTCAAACCCATAAATTAATTACTGGGATTTTAATTCATTTTTGCCAGTATTATAATGCCTGTCTGTGCATGTGGCACTGTGAAATTTAATTTGGCAGATTAGTAACATATATGATTAACATTCTTGTCAAAAAGATATGCTCCCTGAAGCCCTACATTTATTATTTCCTAGCCCACCCTCCTTCTAATGCTTCGCCCTTTTAAATCTTGTCTCTGATTATGAACTACAGGTTTCAGCCTCATCTAAATTTCAACTCTTCTAGCTTGGGCTTTCCTACTTGTCATTTTGGATCAGCCCTGTAGGTGCATGTTTTGTTCATCTCACGTCCCTTGATTATTTTTCTCTGGTAGAAGAAAAGTAATATTTCAAATTAAGTCAGTAGCTCTGTTAGCAAATGTCATTGAAAATTTCCTGGGTCAATTAGTAGCTGCTGCTTGTTTCACAATTTGGTCATTTTAGTGGCGTGAGGTTATGGCTGATCATCTATGAGAAATTAGTTTCTTGGGCTGTGTCTGTACTATGTTCAAGTGACTTCATGAAACATTTTAAATGTAAAAACTCTGATTACCTGTCAGATACATGTCATGCCAAATATTCTTATGAGAAACACATGAACTGTCAATAACATAGGCAAAATGTGCTGACAAAGTCTGAAATTTTTACCTTTAAATTGTGTTTAGATATTGAAACAACTTCAAATGTAGATCTGATTTATTTGCCTGTTTTTAGTTCATAGTGGAAAGGTCACAGTGACCCTCAATTGCTGGTTTACTTGAATAACTTCCCTAGTAAGCTGTGAATGAGCTGGGGCAGGCCACTGTCATCTGCCTTCACTTATCTCAGTATTTCCAGCCCCTGGCACAGTGCCTGGCACAGAGAAGCCACTCAGCAATGCCAGTTAAGTGAGCGATCTCACTGTGGTCACCCGTATCATGCTTTGCCCACTTGTGACCAAGTTCTTGGCATGAGGAGACAGCAAGGAGAGGGAGACGTGAGCCAAATTCATCTAAATGATTCTCTTGGGTCTGCAGACTTACTCAAGGGAAGATACAATAATCGTCATCAAAGAATGTGCCTGGAATTCTCAGGCTGCTTATGACTTCATTAGGAAATTGGGGATAGGCACACAGCACAGAAAAGACAAAGATGGATGTTGGTTTATTCTTACGTTTCACTCAAATGCCTCTGGAAAATTGCCAAAAAATGAGTCACAGTTACATTTACATTTTGGGTGAATTTTTCTCCTTCAACCCTGTACTAGATCATGGGGTGCTATAGCTTGAATGTGTCCCCCAAAAGTTCATGTATTGAAAAGTTGATCTCCAATGCAGCAGTGTTGAAAAGACCTTTAGGAGGTGATTCGGTTATGAGGGCTCATTCATCGATTCATGGCTTAATGGGTTATCAAGGGAGTGGGTTAGTGATGGCAAGAGTGGGTCTGTTATAAAAGACAGTTTAGCCATCCTTGTGAGCCCCTTACCATGTGATGTCCTGTGCTCCCTCAGGACTCTGCAGGTACTCACCAGCTATAAGCCTCTCACCAGATACAGCCCCTAGATGTTGAACTTCCCAGTCTTAAGAATGGTAAAAAATAAATTTCTTTTCTTTATAAATTACCCAATCCTAGGTATTCAGTTACAGCAACAGAAAATGGATTAAGACTTAAGACTATAGGTATTGGATAGGGTTAGAAATAATTCAATAATCAGGAAATTCCTTAAAACAGGATACTTTTCCTAATCATTGATACTGCAAAATATATATTTAGTCTTCCTCCCCAGTTTCCTGGCATAGCACTCTAAAATCCTTAAAACATTCAAAGTTATGTGTCATTTTGTATGTTAATGAGTTCACTGATGGCTGGCAGCCCCTAGATAGCTTCAGGATGGAGGCTTGTCACTGGAAACAACAAGGCAGGATTAGAGAGTTGGGACTTTCAGCCTCACCCCGCCACCAACCTCCAGGTAGGGAAGAGAGTTTGAAGGTTAAGCTGATCACCAATAGCCAGTGATTTAATCAATCATGTCTATGTAATGAAGCTTCCATAAATCCTTCAAAAGGACAGGGTTCAGTGAGCTTCTGATAGCCAAATACATGGAAGTTCCTGGAGGGTGGCATACCTAGGGAAGGCATGGAAGGAAGCTCTGTGTCGTTTCCCCCGTAACTCATCCTATGCATTTTTTAAATCTGTACTTGTGTTTTTTTGTAATACCCTTTATAATAAATGGATAAGTGTAAGTGTTTCTTTGAATTCTGTGAGCTACTCCAGCAAATAAACTGAACCCAAGGATAGCATTTTGTAAGGACTCTGATTTACAGCCAGTCAGTCAGAAGCACAGGTAAAAAAATCCCTGGGGCTTATAATTGGCATTGAAAGTGGGGGACAATCTTATGGCATTGAGCCCTCATTCTGTGAGATATCATGCTATCTCCAGGTGGAGAGTGTCAGAGTTGAATCGGGGAACACCCAGGTGGTATCTGTGGAAGTGTTGCTTGCTTGGTGTGGGGAAAAATACCCCACACATTTGGTCACAGAAGTCTTCTGTGTTGATTGTTGAGTGAGAGTATAGGAAAATAATTTTGGCTTGTTTATTCCTGTATTTTCAGAAAATCCAAACCTTGGGCTGATGTTTTGTTTGTTTGTTTCTTTCTTTTTTTTTTTTGAGATGGATTCTAGCTCTGTCGCCCAGGCTAGAGTGCAGTGGTGCAATCTTGGCTCACTGTAACCTCTGCCTCCCAGGATCAAGCAATTCTCCTGCCTCAGCCTCCCGAGTAGCTGGGATTACAGGTGCCTGCCACCACACCCAGCTATTTTTTGTATTTTTAGTAGAGACGGGGTTTTACTATGTTGGCCAGGCTGGTCTCGAACTCCTGACCTCGTGATCCACTTGCCTTGGCCTCCCAAAGTGCTGGGATTACAAGTATGAGCCACCATGCCTGGCCCGGCCTGATGTTTTCTTTTAAATTTTAAATAAGATCTGGATTCTGGTTCAAGATGGCTGACTAGAGACATCAGGCACCTGCTGTCTCCAGAAAGAAGAGCCAAAATTACAGACTATCACACCTCAAATAGAACATCTAGGAGAGAACACTAGAGTCCAACAAAAAACTCGTGGGAAACACCTGATGTACAGATGAGAACGAAACAAGTGGCCAGCTCAGCCAAGATCAGCCAGGAGCCTAGAGGAACGTGGTATTGAGGGGAAAGAAAAGATTAAGTGAGAGGGCTTCAGCAGTCCATATTTCTACCATAGACTGCTGCGATGTGAACCATGGGAGAGCTCCTCTATCCACATGAATCCCTGATACCAGATGGGTGGCAATTTGGAAACCCTATGAGGTTATTGAACCAGACAAGGAACTTGTTCTGGGTTACTCACCCTCCCCTATGAGACCTAAACGGGTATGGCAGAGTACACTTTTGGAGCACAGCCAACAGGAATAGCATTCTGCTCTCGGAACAATAGCCCTTGTATCTCCCCATCCCAGGAGCTTTTGCTGACATTACCCAGTGACCACTTGGAGGTCTGCAGCAGCATACCACTGGCTAGAGCCAAAGGTGCTGCAAAGTCCCCAGTACTCTAGTCCACAGGGAGTACTACACTGTGGGAAAAGGACAGTGCAATGCACCAAAAGGCATCTCCTGGGAAAAAGAAAACCAAAGTGTTTGCTTTCCAGAGCCCAAGAACTCCCTGTCTGGGGCTGTGGGAAATGACTCCATCCTCAGCAGCAGCACAAACTCTGGTGCTCCAGCTTTGCAAATGAAGAGTGACATCCTTTGCCACTGGCAGAGCAGCCTCTGTGCTTAAGCTCTCATATAGAGAATATGACCCCTCCTCCCCCTCTGCATACCTGATCCTACTGCCAACAAAGGCTAGGGTGGGTGGGCCGGAGGGCTACCTGTCTGAGGTGGTGAGTAACAACTACAACCTAACTGGCAGTATGGTCTCTGTGCTGAGACTTCATGCTAAAGCAGGGCTTCTCTCCCCTTCTGTGTGGTGCTGTGTTGCTGCTTCCATAGAGAGCAGAAAAGACTGATAATAGTGTATGGGGGGGTTGTTGGGGGTGATTCCATACCACAGCTACTGTCAATACCAGCCCATACCACTCAAGACCCAGAGGGTAGTCCCACCACTGCTACTGCTATCACCCACACCATGCAGGCTGCCCAGAGACCCAAGTGGGCCCACTGCTGGGCAGATGAGCAAGGCACCTGGAGCAAGACACTTGGAGGCTCAAGAATCATCCCACTGGTAGCTTCCTACACAAATGCCAGTGTACACCACCCTGGGGCACAAAGACAGGTATGGTCAGACCACCACTGCTACTCTTGGGACCCAAAGACTGGCCCACCTGGCTTTCCAGGCTTCAGCACAACTTCATCACTAATAGCCACACACTAACCCTTTGAGGAAATCACAGAAAGCACTAATACTATTTATAGTTAAATAAACCATGCAGAGAATATACTACTGCATGCACCCAGAATCAAAGCCAAAGGGCCCTACCCAACCAACATCACAGATATATCTTCAGAAAAATGTCCTTTCCTAAGTAAATTCAGAAATAGGAGATGTGATTGTTAAACCAGATGTGCAGATGTCAATGTAAGAGCACAGGAAATGTGAAAAAAGCAAGGAAATATGACACCTTCAAAGAAACAATAATTCTTCAGCAATAAATCTTAAAAAGAAAATGTTAAAATTCCCAATAAAGAATTCAGAATATTGATTTTTAAATAAGCTTAGTGAGATACAAAAGAATTCTGAAAAAAATACAAAAAATTGGGGATATGAGAAATTTACTAAAGTGATAAATATTTTGTTAAATAAACCAGAGTTTTTAGAACTGAAGAATTCATTGAAGGAAATGCAAAATACATTTGAAAGCTTCAACAATATGCTAGACCATGTAGAAGAAAGAATCTCAGAACTTGAAGACAGGTCTTTTGAAAACAACCCATCTGGACAAAAAATGATGAAAAAGTATGAGCAAAGCCTGCATGACAAGTTGGACAATGTAAAGCATCTGAATATACAAGTTATCAGTATCCCTGAAAACAGCAAATTAAAGGATTAGACAATATGAAATAGATGAAAACTTACATTTGGTCAGAGAATTAGACATTCATATACAGAAGGTTCAACAATCCCCAGGTAGATACAATGCAAGAAGGTCTTCTCTATGGTATGTTATAATCAGAATCCCTAAAGTCAAAGACAAAATGTGAGTCCTAAAAACAACATGAAAAAGGTGCCTAGTCACCTATAAAGGAAACCTCATCAGACTAACCACAGATTTCTCAGCAGAAATCTTACAGGCCAGAAGAGAATGGGATGATATATTCAAAGAACTGAAGGAAAACAGCTATCAACCAAGGATACTATCTCCAGCAAAATTATCCTTCATAAATGAAGGAGAAATAGTCTTCCAGACAAGAAAATGCTAAGGAAATTTGTTACCAATAGACTGACCCTGCAAGAACTGCTTAAGGAGTCCTACACTGGAAGTGAAAGGAGACATCTACCATCATGAAAACACATGAAAGCATAAAACTCGCTGATGAAACAATCACACAAAGAAGGATGAGAAAGCCTCAAACAGTACCAGTACTAAAATCCACCAGACCGCAATGACAATAAGATTAAGAGATACTTACATATGCATGTTGATAGAAGCACAATTTGCACTGCAAAAATACGAAACCAGCCCAAATTTCCCAATGAGTGGAAAAAGAAAATATGGTATATATACATAGCATGGAATACTTCTCAGTCACAAAAAGGAACAAAATAATGGCATTTGAAGCAACGTACATGGAATTGGAGACCCTTATTCTAAGTAATATAACTCAGGAATGGAAAACCAAACATTGCATGTTCTCAGTCATAAATGGGAGCTAAGCTATGAGGGTGCAAAGGCATAAGAATGATACTTTGGGGACTTTGGGGAAAGGGCAGGAGGTGGGTGAGGGATAAAACACCACCACATTGGGTACAGTGTACACTGCTTGAATGATGGGTGCACCAAAATCTCAGAAATCACCACTAAAGAACTTATTCATGTAACCAAACCACTTGTTCCCCAAAAACCTATTGAAATAAAAGTTTAAAGTGAGTATATAAAACAACCAGAAAACAACAATATTAAAGAAACAAAGCCTCACATATCAATAATAACCTTGAATGTAGAAGAATTAAATTCTCCACTTAAAAGATATAGAATGGCTGAATGGACTAAGAAACAAAAACCCCTCATCTTTTCAATAAAGTCACCTATAGACTGAAAGTAAAGGAATAGGATAAGATATTTTACTCAAATAGAAACCAAAAGCAAATAGGAGTGGCTATACTTACATTACATAAAATAGACTTTAAGTCAAGAAGAGTAAAAAAAAGCAAAGAATGTCATTTCCTTCTGTAATCATGTCATTATATAATGAAAAAGCAATCCAGGAAAAGGATATAACAATTCTAAATATATAAGACCCAACACTGGAGCATCCAGATTCATAAAGCATATATTACAAGATCTAAAGAGATCTAGTAAATCTTTCACTACATGGCAGTGCTGGAGTCTCTCTGAATCTGCTGTGATTCTGGGGCTGCCTGATTCATGAATCATTTATTGCTTAATGAAACTCCTTTCAATTTAATTCAGCTGAACTTTTAACAGGTAGATCCACTGATATCTTGCACCTTGTCCCTGGAAGAGCTGCAGGCACTCAACACCAGTCTGTGAAGGCAGGTGCAGGGGCTGTACCTGCTAAAATCACAGAAGCAGAGCTCTCCAAGGCTGTGGGAGCCCACTTCTTACATTAGGTGTCCTGGATGTGAGACATGGAGTCAAAGGAGATCATTTTTGAGCTTTAAGATTTAATGACTGTCCCACTGGATTGTGGATATGCATGGAGCCAATAGCCCCTTTGTTTTGGCCAACTTCTCCCATTTGGAACAGGAGCATTTATCCAATGCCTGCACACCCATTGTATCTTGGAGGTAACTAACTTGCTTTTGATATTACAGGTTCATAGGTGGAAGGGACTTGCCTTGCCTCAGATGAGACTTTGGACTTGGACTTTTGGGTTAATAATGGAATGAGTTAAGACTTTGGGGGACTGTTGGGAAGGCATGTTTGATTTCTGAAATGTGAAACGGACATAAGATTTGGGAGAGGCCAGGGGCAGAATATGGTTTGACTCTGTGTCCCCACCCAAATCTCATCTTAAATTGTAATCCAAATTGTAATCCCCAGGCATAGAGGAAGGGACCTTGTGGGAGGTGATTGGATCATGGGGTCAGTTTTCCCCATGCTGTTCTTGTGATAGTGAGTGAGTCTCACCAGATCTGGTGGTTTTATAAAGGGCAGTTTCCCCTATGCTCACTATTCTCTCTTCTGCCCTCCTGTGAAGAAGGTGCCTGCTTTCCCTTCCACCATGATTGTAAGTTTACTGAGGCCTTTCCAGCCATGAGAAACAGTCCATGAAACCTCTTTTGTTTATAAATTACCCAGTCATGGGTAGTATCTTTCACAGTGTGAAAACGAGCTAATACACATTCAATCCAGCAATCTCATTACTGAGTATCAACCCAAAGGAAAAGAAATCAATGTATCAAAGGGATATTGCACTTTCGTGTTTATTGCAGTACTCTTCACAAAAGCAAAGATATGGAAACACCCTAAATTTCCATCAATGCGTGAATGGATAAAATGTGGTATATATACACAATGGAATATTATTCAGCCTGTTTTTTAAAAAAAAGGAAATCATGTCATTTGCAGCAACATGCAGGAACTGGTGGTCATTATCTTAAGTGAAATAAGCCAGGTCCAAAAATGCAAATATCACATGTTCTCACTTACATGTGGGAGCTAAAAACTTGATCACATGTAGGTAAAAAGTGGAAAGATAGTGGACAGGATGCCTGGGAGGTGGGGGGAACATGAATAGAAATGAGTTAAAGGGTACAAACCTATGTAAGAAAGAATACATAAATTCAGTGTCTAATAGCAGAGTAGGGTGACTATACTTAACAAAAATGTATTGTACTCAGGTGATGGACACCCTAAATAGCCTCAATTTATCATTACATATTATATATACATTACAAAATTTCACATGTACCCCATAAGTTTGTACAAATAAAAAATATCTATATAATTAGTTTATAGTTTCCATATTTCATATTTTACAACCTTATGCCATTTGATTTTCACAATCAATTTATATGGTATGCATGCCCTGGGCTGTTTGTTTCCCCCATTTTCTGGAGTAGGAAACTGAGTTGATGGTGGTAAGAGAAGTCACAGTTGTTTAGAAAATGACTTATCAAGATTTAAATTCAAGTTCTGTAATTCAAGCCTAGGGCTCATTTCTTTTTTTTTTTTTAAAGATGCTTTTGTTCTGCTTTATTTATTTTTATTATTATACTTTAAGTTCTAGGGCACATGTGCACAACATGCAGGTTTGTTACATATGTATACATGTGCCATGTTGGTGTGTTGCACCTGTTAACTCGTCATTTACATTAGGTATATCTCCTAATGCTATCCCTCCCCCCTCCACCCACCCCATGACACCCCCAGTGTGTGATGTTCCCCATCCTGTGTCCAAGTGTTCTCATTGTTCAGTTCCCACCTATAAGTGAGAACCTGCAGTGTTTGGTTTTCTGTCCTTGTGATAGTTTGCTCGGAGTGATGGTTTCCAGCTTCATTCATGTCTCTACAAAGGACATGAACTCATCCTTTTTTATGGCTGCATAGTATTCCATGGTGCATATTTGCCACATTTTCTTAATCCAGTCTATCATTGATGGACATTTGGGTTGGTTCCAAGTCTTTGCTATTGTGAATAGTGCCACAATAAACATACGTGTGCATGTGTCTTTATAGCAGCATGATTTATAATCCTTTGGGTATATGCCTAGTAATAGGATGGCTGGGTCAAAGGGTATTTCTAGTTCTAGAACCTTGAGGAATCGCCACACTCTCTTCTACAATGGTTGAACTAGTTTACAGTTCCACCAACAATGTAAAAGTGTTCCTATTTCTCCACATCCTCTCCAGCACCTGTTGTTTTCTGACTTTTTAATGATCACCATTCTAACTGGTGTGAGATGTTATCTCATTGTGGTTTTGATATGCATTTCTCTGATGGCCAGTGATGGTGAGCATTTTTCCATGTGTCTGTTGGCTGCATAAATGTCTTCTTTTGAGAAGTGTCTGTTCATATCCTTTGCCCACTTTTGGATGGGGTTGTTTGATTTTTTCTTGTAAATTTAAGTTCTTTGTAGATTCTGGATATTAGCCCTTTGTCAGATGGGTAGATTGTAAAAAATTTCTCCCATTCTGTAGGTTGCCTGTTCATTCTGATGGTAGTTTCTTTTGCTGTGCAGAAGCTCTTTAGTTTAATTAGATCCCATTTGTCGATTTTGGCTTTTGTTGCCATTGCTTTTGGTGTTTTTGTCATGAAGTCCTTGGCCTAGGGCTCATTTCTACTCTGCCATGAAACCTATCTGGGTTCCTGAATTCTCAGTTGTGTTGTTTGGTTCGTTCTGAGGACAGATGAGTTCAGTTTAGTGAACAACAAATGAAAGCCATGCATTTTCATGGTAGATGCCAACCTTACTACAAAAGTACTCATAAATATTCCTCTTTAGGCTAGGAGCAAAGCAGTTTATCTTTTTATGTTTAAGTTCTGGTATTCTTTTTTTAAATAGTGGTGATTTAGGGGAATCATATCTAGTCTTAAAAATCTAGTTTTCATCTCAAGGGTACTGTTGACCATGTGTCTGATGGTGGAACTCTGACCATTGTCTTGTGTTTTGGGATCAAGGTTTGCATGGCTCCTGAAGGGCAGAGACCTCTTCAGAGGCAGGCCTTGGTCATCTACTTCCCCATGTTCTTGGGTCTCCTCTTTTATATCCTTTCCTAGCCTCCATGGCACCCACTCCCTTGATCTTGTCATTTCACCCCCCACCTCCCCTTCCCTTCCCTGGCTGCTGCTGGTTCTCCTCCTTCACCATTGAAGCAGGAATAACCTTCACTGAATGATTAGAGAACATCTCTGGACAGTTAAATAGGCCCTCCTGCTCCAATTCCTTGATTTGATAGCTATAGATACCTGTTCCTCTGTTTTGAGGACAGTTGGAGAAGCAGGGGCTCAGTAGGCATGAGAGTTGCTCTGTGTTTGCTAGCAGAAGCACATATAATCAGCAGTGTGGGGTCTGCCCTCCCTGGACCAGTCTTTATAGATGTTCTCACAGCATGCAATTCTCACCACTAGCAGAACATGCCTCAGTCAGTGACTAATTGAATCTCATCTGCTTTGTCACTCGCTGGGTGATTGCAGTCTTTCCCTTGAATTTATGACAGATTCTGGCCAAAGAGCTCTTTAGAAATTGGGGGATTTGGGGCATTTTAAGAGAATTAGGCTCTGGGTCTACACAGGGTTGGAGACCTGACATCCTTCCCAGTTTTCATCTCTACAGATCCAACAAAACAATAGTCAATTAAGTGAACAACCAGGCTTCCTGCTTTATTTGGGCACTGTTTCCATCATTGAAGGACTTAGCAGACTGAACAATTTGTGTATTTGGGGTAAATATATTTTAGAAATGAATGTACCCAGCCATCTGAGTTTATATTCAGAAATAAAATTATAGTTAAATATAGAAACAATAGGCTTGTCTCTATGCTGAAGATGTTATTAATGGATTTTCTAGAGATGAGCACCATCGCTTTCTGTATTCCAGTGATGTTTGAGATTGATGGTTTATAGATTCCTGCATCATTTGTGATGGGTACAGAACCCTGGATAACTGATGGCTGGTTTAGTGGAAGCCAAGCTTTTAGACATTATGTGCAAATTTAGGAGTCACTGTGGCTGTAATTTCAAGTGTCATATGTTACCTGGAATGGACTGAGTCCAATATTTTCATTACTAACTTCCTTCAATTGACTTTACTTTATCTTAACAGGCAAACATGTCTTATTGTCACTCAGTGTCCGAAGGCAATTAACCAACTAACATAACATTTAAAAAAAAGCTCAAAGACAAAGCACATTTGCTCAAGAAAAATTACTTGCTGATTTTCTCTTGTTAATTAATTTCCCAGCCATCAATGCTGGCCTCCAGCTTTTGTCTGGCCACTTTCCTTTTTCACCAAGTTGCCATTTCTTCCGCCTTGTAAACACAGGAAGCTAGTGAATTGATCTAGCCATACTTTGACAAAGAGATAAAGGCAGCTGCATCCTGGGCATCTGTTGCCTTCTGGAAATGTGTCAAGGTTCCTTTCCCTACACAGGGGAAACCGGGAGTTAGCAGACAGCAATGCTGTGAGCAGCTCCAGAGTGAATTTGTGAATAATCTTGGTGTTTTCTACTCTGTGCAGGTGAGGGATGGGGCCAGTAGCAGAGGTGATCACAGAGGCAATCAGGAGAGAATCACATCTCCCTAGCTGAGCCAGGAGCTCTGGATGCAGCCAGGGGGCTTTTGCCCTACACTACTTCAGAAAGAAACATTTTAGAAAGAATTAAACAGCATTTGCAGTAGCATGATCTATGCAAATTCTCTAATACAACCTGTCTGCTTTTTCCATTTGGACACTTGTTGAGAAGGGCCCAGCATTCCAAACATGGTCCCCTTCTTCTTCTTCTTCTTCTTCAGATCTCTTCTTCTACAATGGGTGGCAGCGGGAGAGTCAGGTTCCTTCTGTCCAGGAGAGACCTCATTTATCTTTGCTTTACATTGGGTCAGCTGATCTTTAGAGGGCAGCCTCTTGAGGACTTCTCATCACTCCACTATCTCTCACCAGAAGGGGCATTACAGATGAGGCCATGGAGGCGCAGAGAGGTTGGGCTACTTTCTTAGGTTCACATGGCTGCTTGATGATGGAGGCAGCTTCTTCCAGAATCCCCACTCTTGCTCTCAGGGACTGTGATATTCTGGGTTGGTGCAGCAGACCTCCTCCAAGTGGGGCCTAAACCAGATGAGTCCTCCAGTCAGGCTGGGTTAGGATGAGGTACCCATAAAGAGGGCAGCCTGTTCAGGAGGGGTGCTTCTCTGAGGCTCCTCGGGTGTGTCATTCCTCAACTCCAGAGTTGGGCTAAAGGCCTGTCTCTGATTCCACTTAAGTACCTACTCTTGTATATTGAATTTGTTTTCTCTAACTGATTAATGGCTAATTTTTATTAAATATTTACTAAGTGCCAGGATCTCTTCTACAAGCCCTAAAATAGTGTCTTTTTAAATTATCACAACAATTGTGTAAGGAGATTTCTACTCTCATCCTGCAGATGAGGAAACTGGAACTCACAGAAGGTAAAAATGTTGTTGGAGGGCACACAATTAAAAAGTGATAGAATTTGGACCTCCCTCTCCCTACTCCAGGGCAGAGCTTTCTGCATAACAGATGCTCGATAACTGTTAATTTGTGTCATCTGTTTTTATTTTTATAAGGTTAGGCAAGATCTTCCACTCTGGAAGAGCAGAGGGGCCAGTAGAGACTATTTTTGCTACTTAGATGAGCAGGATCCCACCCTCAAGCACAGGCCTATTGTTTCCTTTCTCTTCATTTAATCGAGTGTGTATTGTGCATTGCACAAGGACAACAGGCCGTGACTTGTGTTATGAGGAGTTGTCTGTACACAGTGTTATATGAACAAAGTAGAGGGAGCCATAAACTGCTGGGGGAGCAGGAAAAGATTTCACAGAGAAAGAAACATTGGACTTGGGTACTGCAAGATGTGAAGGAGTCCTCCAACTACAGGCAAGCAGAGGGCATGCACAGAGAGGAAGAGCATGTGCAAAGACAAGGTGGCAGGAAGGGGCCCGATGTGTTCACAGAAAGGAGAGGTTTGGTGTTACTGCAGGGTAGGGGACACATGGTAGAGATTGTAAGGACAGGATGGGGAAGGAAGGAAAAAAATCCAGCTGTGAAAAGGCCTTATGGTGTGTTAAGAAGTTTGGAAGGCTTATCCAATCTATAATTTATACTGCAGGATAGAATTATTATTTGAATAGGAAGTGGGGAAAAATTGTGGCAAATGTACGTTCAGAGGTACTTTCCCCAATAAAGCAGAGAAGGAAGGAGAGCCTTGGCAGCACAACACCTTGGAGATTACAGATTTTCATGGATCCCTTCTGTTCAAGTCAAAAAAGAATGGGAAATGAGGGATAAAAAGATCCCATTTCAGTTCAGTAGAACCCATACAAGGCAACAATTCTGTTTTAAGGTCTCTGGGATAGCAGCTGAGTACTTCAACTTGTGTTTGCTGCAGATGTGAGAAAGGGATTTGACCAGACCCCAAGCAGACTAAAAGCAAGCTGGGCCAAAGATAATCCACACTCAATTTCTTTCTTTCTTTCTTTTTTTTTTTTTGAGGGTCTTCTTTTTTTGAGGGCCCTCCACATTTTTTAGTTTTAATTTTAATTTTTTTTATTTTAAGTTCGGGGATACATGTGCAGAAAGTGCAAGTTTGTTACACAGGTATACATGTGCCATGGTGGTTTGCTGCACCTCTCAACCCTTCATCTATGTTTTAAGGCCTGTATGCATTAGGTATTTGTCCTAATGCTCTCCCTCCCCTTGACCCCAACCCCCCGACAGGCCTTGGTGTGTGATGTTCCCCTCCCTGTGTTCATGTGTTCTCATTGTTCACCTCCCACTTATGAGTGAGAACATGTGGTGTTTGGTTTTCTGTTCCTGTGCTAGTTTGCTGAGAATGATGGCTTTCAGATTCATCCATGTCCCGGAAAAGGACACAAACCCATTCTTTTTTATGGCTGCATAGTATTCCATGGCATATATGTGCCACATTTTCTGTATCCAGTCTATCATTGATGGGCATTTGGGTTGCTTCCATGTCTTTTCTATTGTAAATAGTGCTGCAATAAGCATATGTGTGCATGTGTCTTTATAGTAGCATGATTTATAATCCTTTGGTTATATACCCAGTAATGGGATTGCTGGGTCAAATGGTATTTCTGATTCTAGATCCTTGAGGAATCGCCACACTGTATTCCACAATGGCTGAACTAATTTACACTCCCACCAGCAGTGTAAAAACATAGTGTTGGAAGTTCTGGCCAGGGCAATCAGGCAAGAGAAAGAAATAAAGGGTATTCAAATAGGAAGAGAGGAAGTCATATTGTCTGTTTGTAGATGACATGACTATATATTTAGAAAACATGCTCAATTTCTATTGGCAAATACTAGGTCAGGCTCTAGGAATCCGAAAGTTCAGAATATCATTTGGGGGTCTTTACTAGGGTGCAAAAAGTTATATCCTCTAACAAACAAGAGCAGAAACCATAAGGAGAGGCTTTGTTTTAAAAGAAAACAGGATGAGGGTTAAAAAGGGCTATGAGTAAAAGAAGCCAAGTATGCAAGGAAAGTAAGAATGGGAGGTGGAATAAAAATTCATATTGAAGACATCAACATCTGAGTTCAAATGATAAAATCAAGTCCTGGACAAACTTAGGAAGCTTCCCCAGGATGCAGAAGAAAGGAAAGACAAATAAAAATGAGGTTGAGAAAACTGTAAACACAGAGGACAATAAATGGAACTCCAACCTAAATCTCTATGTTTACAAGTAAACTGGAAGAGTTAGAAATAAAAGAGTAATCAAAGTCATCATTACAGGAAACTTTCCTGAGCTAAACACTTTTTTCAGCTGATTGAGATATGCAGCTGAAAAGGCTACACAGGGAGAGGGATTTAACACACCATGCATAGAGATGGAGTTGAGTGCAGGTAAGGACCAGGACTGCTTTATTTTTATTTATTTTTTTCAAGATGGTGTCTCGCTTTGTTGCCCAGGCTGGAGTGCAGTGGCACAATTTCAGCTCACTGCAACCCCTGTCTCCTGGGTTCAAGCGATTCTTCTGCATCAGCTTCCCAAGTAGCTGGGACTACAGGTGTGCGCCACTGTGCCCGGCTAATTTTTGTATTTTTAGCAGAAATGGGGTTTCACCATGTTGGCCAGGCTGGTCTCGAACTCCTGACCTCAAGTGTTCCTCCCACCTTCGCCTCTGAAAGTGCTGGGACTGTGACTGCTTTAGGTGAATGAAAAGCTCTACTGGTTTGGTTCTTTAATGCGCTGGGCTGGGGTGGGTTAGGGTTTGACTTTGAAATGTGGCAGAGCTGTGCCAGATTCTGAGACACGTCAGAGCTGGTGAACCTTTGCCTTGACCTTGTTCCTGACCTGCAGTCTGGTCATGTATCTGCCCACCCTCTTCTTCTACCCTGAGCCAACACTTTTCAGCAAAGCATGGGGCCCCTCCTCCCAGGGCTGCGAGATTTAGCAAAGAAAAGCACAGGATTCCTAACTAAACTTGAATTTCAGATAAATTGGGACATATATTAAAAAATTATTTATGTGAAATTAAATTTGAAATCTGTATTTTATCTAGCCACCCTACTCTCTCACTTGCTCATACTTTTTCCTAACACTTGCCTTCATTTTCTTCCTTTCTCAGACTCTTGTATACATACTTGAAGGTTTTTTGGTTCACTTGTTGATATTTGGGCTAGCACTAACTTGAAAAATTCTGACATCTAATGAGACAGAATATTGCTCAGTAAACATAAACATTTCTTCACAGTATAGTCCCTTTTGTATCAGGTCCTATGGAGGCTTTTATACAATTTCTAATTTTGTCATGAAATTTCTGCCAAAGCCTGTCCTCAGAATCCATACTCTTGGTTAACAGAACGCTTAGTACACATGTGTAAAGTTTAGCTAAGGAAATAGACATCTATTTAAAATTATACCACAGCCAATATCATACTGAATGGGCAAAAACTGGAAGCATTCCCTTTGAAAACTGGCACAAGACAGGGATGTCCTCTCTCACCACCCCTATTCAACATAGTGTTGGAAGTTCTGGCCAGGGCAATCAGGCAGGAGAAAGAAATAAAGGGTATTCAGTTAGGAAAAGAGGAAGTCAAATTGTCCCTGTTTGCAAATGACATGACTGTATATCTAGAAAACCCCATCGTCTCAGCCCAAAATCTCCTTAAGCTGATAAGCAACTTCAGCAAAGTCTCAGGATACAAAATCAATGTGCAAAAATCACAAGCGTTCTTATCCACCAATAACAGACAAACAGCCAAATCATGAGTGAACTCGCATCCACAATTGCTTCAAAGAGAATAAAATACCTAGGAATCCAACTTACAAGGGATGTGAAGGACCTCTTCAAGGAAAACCACAAACCACTGCTCAGCGAAATAAAACAGGACACAAATGAATGGAAGAACATTCCATGCTCATGGGTAGGAAGAATCAATGTTGTGAAAAATGGCCATACTGCCCAAGGTAATTTATAGATTCAGTACCATCCCCACCAAGCTACCAATGACTTCCTTCACAGAATTGGAAAAAAACTACTTTAAATTTCATATGCAACCAAAAAAGAGCCCACATTGCCAAGACAATCCTAAGCCAAAAGAACAAAGCTGGAGGCATCACGCTACCTGACTTCAAACTCTACTACAAGGCTACAGTAACCAAAACAGCATGGTACTGGTACCAAAACAGATATAGACCAATGGAACAGAACAGAGCCCTCAGAAATAATGCCACACATCTACAACTATATGATCTTTGACAAACCTGACAAAAACAAGAAATGGGGAAAGGATTCCCTATTCAACAAATGGTGCTGGGAAAACTGGCTAGCCATATGTAGAAAGCTGAAACTGGATCTCTTCCTTACACCTTATACAAAAATTAATTCAAGATGGATTAAAGACTTAAATGTCAGACCTAAAACCATAAAAACCCTAGAAGAAAACCTAGTCAATACCATTCAGGACATAGGCATGGGCAAGGACTTCATGTCTAAAACAGCAAAAGCAATGGCAACAAAGCCAAAATTGACAAATGGGATCTAATTAAACTAAAGAGCTTCTGCACAGCAAAAGAAACTACCATCAGAGTGAACTGGCAACCTACAGAATGGGAGAAAATTTTTGCAATCTACTCATTTGACAAAGGGCTAATACCAGAATCTACAAAGAACTCAAATAAATTTACAAGAAAAAAAACAACCTCATTCAAAAGTGGGCAAAGGATATGAACATACACTTCTCAGAAGAAGACATTTATGCAGCCAACAGACACATGAAAAAATGCTCATCATCACTGGCCATCAGAGAAATGCAAATCAAAATCACAATGAGATACCATCTTACACCAGTTAGAATGGTGATCATTAAAAAGTAAGGAAACAACAGGTGCTGGAGAGGATGTGGAGAAATAGGAACACTTCTACACTGTTGGTGGTACTGTAAACTGGTTCAACCATTGTGGAAGACAGTGTGGTGATTTCTCAGGGATCTAGAACTAGAAATACCATTTGACCCAGCCATCCAATTACTGGGTATATACCCAAAGGATTATAAATCATGCTGCTATAAAGACACATGCACACGTATGTTTATTGTGGAACTATTCACAATAGCAAAGACTTGGAACCAACCCAAATGTCCATCAATGATAGACTGGGTTAAGAAAATGTGGCACATATACACCATGGAATACTATGCAGCCATAAAAAAGGATGAGTTCATGTCCTTTGTAGGGACATGGATGAAGCTGGAAACCATCATTCTCAGCAACTAACACAGGGACAAAAAACCAAACACCACATGTTCTCACTCACAGGTGGGAATTGAACAATGAGAACACTTGGACACCGGAAGGGGAACATTACACACTGGGTCCTGTTGTGGGGTGGGGAAAGGGGGGAGGGATAGCATTAGGAGATATACCTAATGTAAATTATGAGTTAAGGGGTGCAGCACACCAACATGGCACATGTATACATATGTAACAAACCTGCACGTTGTGCACGTGTACCCTAGAACTTAAAGTATAATAAAAATAAAAAAGTTATGTATTCACGTCAAATGTCTGGAAAAATTTCTCCAAAATGTTAGCAGTGATTGCCTCTGGGTAATAAGTCTTTTTTTTTTTTAAAGCAATTGTTTAGTTTTTTATTCATCTTGTTCTACATTTTTGAAGTGTTAACATGAGAATAAAACATTTCATAATAAATAATAAAGATACTTTCGTTTAAAAGAAAATTGTATTTCAAGATGATACATAATTCAAAAGTCTTGCTAGTAACTCTTAAACTTGATTGTGCATCAGAATCACATGAGGAGCTCTTAAAAATTACGAACTGCTTTCCAGGTTTTATCTCTTAGTTAATGAATCAGACTGTCTATCACTAGACCCAGGAGTCAGTATTTTGGAAAAGCTTCCCAGGTGGTTCTGATGGAGTCTGAGTGGCATCTGCCCTTGGACTGGCATTCAGCAGCCAGAGACTTAGAAACAAACAGCACGTGCAGTTTTAGATTTCCCAGGTGTGGAGAGAAGCTTCCTCTCTCTGCTGACACGTATATGATAGCCCTAATGAGGATAAATAACTACCTTTCTAAAGTTACCTGCTGCCAAGTAAATTTCCTAATTGCCATGGAACCTTTAGTTGGGCCGCTTTGTTTATTTTGACAAGAGCTGCTAAAGTATTTTAAAAGGAACACTTGGAATCTGTGATGGAAGGACTTCAGGCCTCATCATTCCAGCAGAGGGCAGCAGCCATGGGGTCTGCAGAGAAAAGCCCTGGACCATCCTCAGGCCTAGCATGGAAATTGGATCTTTCCTTTTTCTAGCCAACCCAGGGGCAGAGGCAGGAAATGAGATAAGCAAGTTAAAATCATCCTGGGTGACACGGAGGCTGAGCCTTATAGCATCCTCAGGGATCTGCTGTGATGCCATCCATTTGTAAGATGCTACGTTTAAATATTAAGAAAATGTTTTCTGGATACAGCATTTAATACAATGAGACAGAAGCAGGAGGAAAGAATAGGGTTAAAGGATTCACTAGGATGGTCAGGCAGCTGTAAAGGCAATTTGCATTCTTTCTGCATTCTTTCAATTCTAAGCATAGCGTTTTTAAAAATTTGCTTTTATTGTTGGGTCCTGACTGCATATGAAAATAAGGGTCCAGTCACTGAGGCAAAGCTGGTTCATCCTTCCAGCTTCAAACCTAGAGGAAGGGGACATAGCCCAGCAACCTTTGCTCCCCTGCTGGTGCTGCTCTTTATCTTTTGGGGAAGGCAGCAGGACAGCTGGAGAAATAGACATCCCTGTGGCCAAAACCACCTAGGGACGAATGTCCTTATCATTCAGTTTCCCTTATCTGATCCCTTACACATTTTTTTTTTTCCAATTGCAAATCCTCAGGCTTATCTAGCAGATTTAAGTTGAGGAAAAACCAAAGCTTATTAATTTATTTCTGGAGTTTCAAGGGACTGTTTAGTTATCTTAGAGCTGAATGTAACAGCCAGCCTGAAACTTACATTCTTCTCCATCCATCCATCCATCCATTCATCCATCCATCCAATAATATTATGCTAGGCACTAGGTAGGTAGGGATGATGAACAAGAAAGGATTCCCCTTTAAAAATTTTTTTCCAGCCTAGCAGGGAAGATATAACTATTAAAATTATGATAAAACATTCTAAATGCTAAAACATAGGTAAGACTTATTAATTTTGAAATGGTTTTATTAGATATAGTATAGCTGTTAAGAGTTATACTATAGGGTCAGATTGCTAATTCAAGTTCTATCTCTTTCATATACTTTCTGTGTGAACCTGGGCAAATATTAATCTTTCTGTGCCCCCATTCCTCATTTATAAAAGATGGATAAGTGTGCTATGTAATAAGTTTCTTAGGAGAATTAAATTAGTTAATATGTATTTATTTGAAAAACTCAGAAATCACAACCTGAAAGGCAAAAATACAATTAAACAGGGAGTTTACACAAACAGTTCTAACTTCTGCCCAACATCATTCTTGAACATTTTCTCTACCTTTTATCTCCATCCTTCCAAGTAGCACATGGAACAACATGAAAATGGAACAACAGGAAAATAATGGTAGGAGAATTGGCTCTAAGAAACGAATCTCCTGTGAAAGAAAATTACCAAGTTGTCTCTGGAATAGTGTTTTTATCCCTTTTAAGGTCATGGATTCCTTTGAGTATTCATTCACTGATTTAATAATTACTTAGTGAGTACCTACTCTGTGTTAAATGTTATTCCAGGCACTCAGAACAAAGCAAAGATTGTTGCCCTTGTGGAGTTAATATTCTGAGAGGCAGGGAGTTAGACAAGCAAAAACCATAATACAGAAGTCAATTATCTAGTATACAGGAGGTGACATGTTTTAGAAAAACAAAAAGCAGGAAAGAGAGGGTCAGAAGTGCTGGTAGATGCGGTGGGGCAGGGTGTAATTTAAAATAGGGTGGCCGGGGTAGAACTCATTGAGAAGGTAACATTTGAGCAAGGATATAAAGAAGGTAAGGGAATTGGCTGCACACATATCTGAGGGAAGTGTTTGAAGTCTGGGAGGTGTTAGTGCAAAGGTCCCAAGTCAGGGAATGCCTGGGGTGTTACAAGGAGGTCAGTGTGGTTAGGGCTGAGTGAGACAGGGAGTGGTAGGGGATGAGAGCAAACTACCTAGGAAAGCCACCCATCGTTTCTTTGGAGCAGTGATTCCCATACTTCAGCATGCATCAGGGCTTACTGAAACACAGGCTGTGGTAGTCCCATCCCAGAGTTTCTAACATTTCTAACAAATTCCCAGGTGATATTGATGTTGCTGGTTAGGGGACCACACACTGAGAACCTCTCATCTAATACATAGTTACACAATGATACGTATGTTTTGATGGTATTGCTGGGCCCCTAAAGTCTGTCCTGGACTTCAGTTTAGGAATCCTCTAGTAAAAAGCATGGTATTTGACCTGTAACTCCGGCTAGAAAAATTCCTGATAATGTTCCTGATTAAACTTCTTAACCACAATGATGGCTGTTTAGCTCTGCTGTATGTGTGTTTTACTTTCATTGAATAAGAATTTGTGGAGTACTTTGTTACAAACACAAATTTGAGCTTCTTGAAAGATAACGTTAAATAGCACTAGAAACCTTTCCACAGGGCACATAATTGGCTTGACATATTACCTTTTAAAATAGCATGTGACTCTGTCCATGTCTCAAGACGGGAAGATTAAAGACCCGGAGTTCCGCAGTGTATCCTCATCAGGATGGTACCCATAAATTAAGAAGGAGCCAACAAATCCCCTAGACTTCTAAATAACAAAAGGGTTTTTTGACTGTTTTTAAAGAGAAGCTGAAGCAGCACTCAAAGAACCAAAATGACCTGGCAAGTACCTGTCGTGAAGAGATAGTGGGGAGAATATTAAGTGAAAAGAGGGAAATGTGAAAGCTAGAATCAGATAGCTTAATCAGTGCAAGATGAGGTCTGAATTATGTGCAACCTACTTTGTATTTACTTGGTTTTGCAAATTAGATTGGAGTTTGATCTATAGGCTGGACAAGAGCAATTGTGCATTTCTGGGATACCTCAGAGAATAAGTACTCAGCGAGAGAATAAAGAGCCGATTGGCATGTTAAGAATGCAAATGATGAGGACACAGAAATGCTCCAAGGAGCAAGAGAGGACAACTGGGCAGTGAATAAAAACATGCACAAAACTAACGTAATCATTGCCTTATGATACTTACTGTTCCTACCATGGAGAAGGTTAAGCAGCCAAAAGATTCATTGACTCAAAGATACTGATTTCCAAAGATGACTAAGGCATATCAGGCCTTAGAGGGACTTAAATTATGAAGCAGTGGCTCATATTTTGAAGCAATTACCATGTCATTTTCAGACACATGTTTCTTTTCAGTTTTCTGTGTTTTCTTATGCTCTGGGTTTGGAGACAGTGCACCTTTTCCAGCTGAAGTCAAAGTGACTATACACTATCCATTTCAGTTAAACCCACATCTCAAATAAATGTCTATAATGTTTAGCGGATATTCTCCTTGTCAAAATAAATAGTGGAGCGTTTCTTTTAAAATAGGATTGTCTTTTGTAACAGTATAATCATAGGAGTATAATTTTCTAGTTAAAGCAATATTTAATAAATTGGACTGCTTTGTGGGTCTCAAATATTCACTGACAGGAAGTCAGATTGGTGATAGGGAAAAGTTGCTAAACTTAATGCTATGACATGTGAGTTAGTCTTTGTTGGGTTTCATGGTTGTGTTGCCTTAGAAAAGTCACTTACATACCCTAGAAAATCCGTGAAATGATTGCAGTTAAGCAGTTGTTAGAAGGTCAAATGTGATAGGTTGTGTAAATTTAATTTTAAATCCTAACATGTGGTACAAGTGTTTGATATTAGTATTATCTATACTTGAGGTTGAAATTTACATCATTTTTTCAGAAATGTTGCTGGAGGATACAAAAGCTTTTAAATAAATGAACTATTTACAGATCAACAAAATACTGTATTAAGAGTAAAATTGAGTTAACCAATTTTTGTGCTTATTGATTAAAATTGAATATAGGCCCTTGTATCAGAAAAGAACAATTACCAACTATATTAATTAACACTAATTTGCATTTAGTGGGGTGTCCTGAATTAATTTCCATGAGTTAAGAATAACGGATATTTTTGAATGTGTGTGTGTGTGTGTGTGTGTGTGTGTGTGTATATATATATTTCAGTTGCGTGTCTTATATTTACAGGCATACCTCAGAGATATTGAGTTTGGTTCCAGACCACTGCAATAAAAGAAATATCACAATTAAGCTAATTATATATATTTTTTAGTTTCCCAGTGCATATAAAAGTTATGTTTATACTGCAGTCTATTAAGTGTGCAATAGCATTATATCTTAAAAAACCTAATGTACGTACTTTAATTTCAAAATACTTATTGCTTAGAAACATACTCAGGCTGCCTGGCAAAAGTAAAATTATTAAAAAAAATACTTTATTGCTAAAAAATGCTAACAATCATCCGAGCCTTCAGATGGCTGGGTGTGGTGGCTCATCCCATCCTAACACTTTGGGAGGCCGAGGCAGGAGGATCACTTGAGTCCAGGAATTCAAGACCAGCCCTGGCAACATAGTAAGACATCATTTCTATTAAAAATAAAAAAAAAATAAGCCAGACATGGTGGCCCAAGCCTGTAGTCCCAGCTACTCAGGAGGTGGGAGATTTCTTGAGCCGGGAAGACTGAGGCTGTAGTGAGCTATGATCATACCACTGCACTTCAGCCTGGGGAACAGTGAGACCCTGTCTCAAAAACAAGACAAAACAAAAACAAAAAAACCCAACAACAAACAAAAAACCAACAACATAAAAAAAACCTATCTAGATCATAGACTGAATTTTGGCTTTGTATCTGGATTTTGACTTCACAAATAACACTCAAAGTATTTTAAAATAGAAGGCTAAGTATTATGTAAATATAACTCATGATTCAGTTTTAATTATATACTAAAATTATTTCTCCAATTGTGAAGATTTCGTATAGGGAAAAGACCCCTCAACTCTTCAGCAATATTTTCTATATAGACACAGCTTCATAAAAAGAAAAAATGAGACCTATGTGATTATACTGTTTATAGAATAATTTTTTCATTAAAACTTTCATTTTGAGATAATTGGAGATTCACATTCATTGATCTATATGTTTACCCTTCTGCCAATATCACAATATCCTGATTACTGTAGATTTGAAATCAGGTAGACTTTACTTGTAGTCTTGAAATCAGGTAGACTTTACTTTCCTTTTAAAAATGGTTTTAGATATTTGAGTTCCTTTCCCTTTCCATATAAATTTTAGACTGCTCTCCCCTTCTCTGTAGAGGGGTGGATAGTCAGGCTTTTCACATGGTGTCCTCTGATATCATGGGGGAGGCTATTTACCTCTTAGCGAGGGTGAGAATTACTGCATCTTATTTGGCTTCCTCTAACACCACCCTTGCGTTTGGCTCCCCACTTGGTCTTTGCTGGCGCGGGTGGGCATAGTATTAGGCTGAAGTAGAAAGGTTATTGTCTAAAAGTTTTCTCTTATAGGCTACTGTTTGCTGTTCTTTTAGCTAGAGAGAACAAGCTTTTGTTGAGCCTTTTCTGTGCCCACACCCATTGGTGGTTTTTGGTTGCCAGCTTCTTCAGCTCCAAGTCTGAAATGTATGAGACAAACAGAAAATCCAGGAAACTCAACACTGTCATTCTGTGGGTCCTGAAGTCCCTAGCCATTTTGCCTTATTTTCTCTGTTTTATATATAATGCCTAGGATTTTTAGTTGCACTTATAGAGAGGAATAGGGATAACATGTCTATTTCATATTCCCAGAAGCAGAAGTCGTCTTCCCCAAATTTTATTATTTATCTACAAGAAAGTACTATCAACACTGTTTATTTTCCAATGTGACTTGTAAAATAGGGGTAATAAAGATGGGGTGAGGCATACACCAAGACAGGTTTTTCAGAGCAGTAGACTGAAGTTCTAAAAAGAGACACAATTTTTCAGAATGCCCTGCCACCTTATGAATGCTAAATTTTTCCACATTCCTGAGAAGTTAGCATGGATCATGGAAAGTGCATGGGAAGGAACCCTGGCTTTGATTCTCTTTCTGCCACTAATTTTGATTCTAGAAAAGATAACCATCTCTTAGAGAGGTCCAACTAATGCTAAACCATTGGTGAAGCCATGTGAGAGCACTGGACACTTACAACTTGTATCTCAGTTCTTTGAAAAGGGGGCCAAATTCTGCTGGTCTCAGAAAAATGAAAAAGGGTACGTACTGTCTTCTGAGGCTGTGTCTTGACCAAACTGAATTTTCATGAAAGCAGGCATCTTTTTTCTAGCCTCATTTTATTTTTGCTATAAAATATTTGCTACCATTTGTGGGAAATTCTGTATTTCATCCAATAAATATTTTATGAGACATTTCAATCTTGTAAAGAGATGGTAGTTACTGTTCTGGATTGTCTGAAGCAGCCACGTCTCTCCGTCTGCCTTGATCATGCCTCACGCATGCACTGGCCTCACCTGCTTCTTCCTCCAGTTGAAAGAAATTGCTGTCCAGTCCTATGTGAGCTCCAGTAGTAACCAAAGTGTGAGGCCCTGTGTCTGTGCAGGCTCTGGAAATGCCTGGCACTTAGACATGCTTAATTAATAACCATGACAAAATAGGGCCTTGGATTTTCAGGCTGCTCCCTGCAGATTCCTCAAATCAGAATCCTGGTAGAGCCCTCAGGATAAAGTTGATATTTAATAGATGGATGGATGAATACATAGACAGAAGGATAATGTAGGTCTATGTATAATTTATAAATATGGAAATTTTCTGCAAGGGTGGTATATTTACACCATAACAGAATCTTAAATGTTTTGAAATGTATAGTAAGTTAGAGCATGTGCCTACAGTATCCTGAAAATAAGCCGGTTTCTATTCTACTGACAAGCTGGTTTATGGCTATATTTCTGAAATCTGAACACAAGTTATTTTGTGTTGAAGATAGGAAGTATGTGGTGAGAAAACTGCAATAATTTTCATTTTTTAAATTTTTTTCCCTTGCCCTCAGTTTCTGTGTCCTTTGCTTCCTCTACTGATCTAACTTCCAAGGTTAATGTTTAAGAAATAAAAAAAGAGGAAATCTCAATACTGCCAACATCAGTATTTATTACAAAATGTGCCTCTTAAACAAAATAGAAGACTTACAGAATTGTTGAACTCAATTCTTAAGGTATCCAGATTGAATTTATTTCCATTCTCAAAAATGCAGGTCAAAGTCCGCTTTTTCCAAGCAATCTTCCTAGATCATTTTGAGCTAAGACCTTGCCACACTGCAGTTATTCCTTCCTCTCAACTCCTTAGTATCACCACCACCCAGGTGATATTTTTTGTCTCCTATCTGGGCCATCTGCCATTGGTGTTCATGTCTTATTTCGCTGCTAGGTTGTGAGCAGCTAGAGTCCAGAAACATTTCAGCTCTCACGAATGTCTTCATATAGGAGTACCCCAAAATATTTTTCAATAAATTTATAAGCAATTTACTAGGAGAATCAGCTCTGAAAGTTACACTGTCTTTTAGGCACATTATGCTGTAAGTAGATTTTGACTCTTCTGCCCAGACTTTATCCTTTATATTCATTAATCGTTTAAATTCATTACCCCTCATCTACCAATTAATAGAAGGAATTGAGGGCCATAAAAATGTCTTACATTAGAAAGTGAATCCAGTATTCTGCATTATTTTCAATACTTACCACAAAACCTGTTTATATTACATTGAATCTATTCAGAAATTGGACTCCATTCAAAAATACATTTAGCTTTTTTAACCCTGTATTTGCATTGCGATACTCAAATAATAAAATACTTTATTTCATATTCCTGACTCCATTTGTATAGTGATTAGAGTACACAGCTAGGTATGGCATAATGCAAAATGGATGAATTATGTAGATCAGTATTGTCCAATGGAAACTGAAGTAGACAAAATCCCCGCCAAGATGTCCAAATCCTAATCCCTGAAACTTGTGAATATGCTATTTCACATGGCAAAGGGAATTTGTAGATGTGATTAAATTAAGGATCTTGAGATGGGGAGATTATCCTGGATTATTTGGGTGGATACAAGGTAATCACTAGGGTTCTTATAAGAGGAAGGGAGAATCAGAATAAGAGAAGGAGATACTATAATAGAAGTAGGAGAGAGAGAGAGAGACAGACAGACACAGAGACAGAGACTTCAAGATACTATGCTGCTGCTGACTTTGAAGATGGAAAAAGGGGCCATAGCCAAAGAATAAAGGTAGTTTCTAAAAGTTGGAAAAAGTAAGGAAAGAGTCTTTCTTAGTTTTCTGCTGAACCTTGATGTTAGGATTTCTGATCTCTAGAACTAATTGTAAGACTGTAAATTTATGTTGCTTTAAGGCACTGATTTTGTAGTAATTTGTTACAGCAGCAATAGGAAACTAATAGAGAAACAAAATTTGAGCCACATATGGAATTTTAAGTTTTCTATTAGTCACATTAAACACACTAAAGTATAAAGTGACATATATTTAATAATAAATTTTGTTTAACCCAATATGCCCATAATATTTCAACATGTAGTCAGATTAAAAGATGGCTTATTTTATATATTTTTCTTAAGTAAATCTTCAAAATTCAATGTGCACTTCACAGTTATAGTGCCTCGCAATCTGGATTAGCCACATTTTGAGTGTACAATTGCCATGTGTGACTGGTGGCTACTGTATTGGATAGCTCAAATGCAGATTATTCTAGTATAACCCATTTTGCCTGAGTCTTTTATGACCTTGTCACTCAAAATCAGGTTCATCAACAGCAACATTGTCACCTGTGAGTTCATTAGTTAAGGTTGCAGCACTCCCTTCCACCCCCCCAAAACCGGGTCCCTCAATCTATGAGTAGAATTTTCATTTTAACAAGAATGCTGGCAGTGATTCAAATGCCCATTAAACTTTGAGAAGCACTGCTCTAGATATTGGATAAAACTTTTGTTTTTGCTTGCATTATCCATATGAAAAGTTGCTTAAATATTTTGTTTCAATCACCTCTTTCTCAAATGATCAGTATTTTCTGGTTGATTGCTTTGAAAAATGTTAAGCATTGCTGGGAAACTCCAGGATTTTCTATGGCAAATCCTGCATTTTATCTGCTCCTTCACAGTGAAGAACTGTGACTGCTATAATCACCTGCAAAGGGATTAAATTTGGTCTCCCTTCTAGCTGCCTTCAAGGTAAAATGGTGAATGAGTCTATTCAAAAAGTGCTACCACCCACTGAATAGACCTGCAGTCATGCATGAGAACAAATTGCCTGATGATTTTCCATAATGGTGTGGACAGGTAGTCCACGGGAAATCTGTGGTACAGTTGCATCACTCCCACCCTGCTGTTCATTCATACACATAAAAAGGAGTTGTCAATGATGTGAAGGCTAAGGCAGGTGTACTTTCTCTAATTTTCTTACAATAACCAGCATCTTTTCTCTGGAATTTTGTGATATTCACACTTTGAGATGGATCACTCATCAGCAAAGTGAACACATTTGGGTGCTCAGAAAATGTTACCTGACAAAATTAATGCCATTTAAAACCTCAGATGAACTTCAGCAACTGTGCAAGATAAAGCACAGAGTGTAAATTCCATGAGACCCACACTTCCTCCTTTGCTTGGTGATTTGTTGTCTTGTTTTGCTTTGTTATTTTCTCCTTTGGTTCAGGGGAGGATTTGACAAATGAATCTTTAGCTAAAGTAGGGCAGAGCAAGTTCCTAACATTTAGCTAAAAGCAGGGAAGAGCAAGTTCCTGACTTTTTTTAATACTTGAAACGTACCTTAGGATAATGAAAATTATGTTCTTTAATGATCTAACCAGGACAATGGAAAAGCCTGAATCATTTAACTATTATAACAAAAAATATAGACTGCTTTTGGCAATACAGAAGTCTAGATTTTATATGTGTACCTTTAAGCTACAAAGCACTTAGATAAGTTGATAAAATGCAAGAAACACCTTCTCCAATGTTTATTTGAGATCACCGGAATATAAGGGAAATACAGAGGCAGAACCAAAATATAAATAGTAAGTGGATAGAGGCAGCTGTTCTCAGGTTAGTTGCCTATCTTAGTAAACCTAAGTGTGTGTTTCAACAGATGCATGCAGAAGGTTAGTAAACCTAAGTGTGTGTTTCAACAGATGCATGCAGGAGGTGGGCATAAGTCGGGGAGTTGAAACTGGGACCTCTTCACAAAGCCAGGATCATAGGAGAGTCACACTTCAATGAAAGGGTAGACTAAAACTTTTGTCTACAATCAAATGGTGGTAACAAAGTCGCTAATGGAAATATAAGATGGAGAAAATAAAGAGAATGTGGGAGAGTTATTCAAAAAGATACAATTTTGCAGAATTAATAAATGACTAGAGGCTCAAAATTAAGCACAACAAATCCCAAGCACATAAATAACAATAAATCCATAGGTAGATACATTAAAGGGTAACTGCATAACACAGAAGACAAAAGATCAAAAGAGCAGCCACAGAGAAAAGATGGATTATTTCAAAGGAATAACAATTAGATTGATAGCAGAATTCTCTACAGTAAACATGAGTCAGAAGACTGTGTTCAGAGTGCTAAGAGAAAATATCTGTTAACCCATTATTCAATAAAAATGGCATAATAGTCTTTTTAAAATTTTTAGTTGACATGTAAGAATTGTACATGTTTATGGGATATGAAGTGATATTTTGAAATGTGCATATGATGTGTAATCAAATCAGGATAATTAGCATATCCATCACCTCAAACATTTATCATTTCTTTATGTTATAAACATTCAAAATCCTCTTTTCTAGCTTTTTGAAAATATATATTTTATGGCAAAAAACATCAGTGAGTTTATCATAGTTAATTACTGAATGAACTTCCAAAGGCTATTCTTTCTGAAAATTAAATTGAGCCTAGAACACATTGAAATATGAGAAAGACTAATGAACAGAGTAATTAGAATACATGATGTAAAATATAAGCAAATACTAATTGCAAAAATCAATAACAAAATGATATTAACTAATCTGTGGTGGGGAAAAATAGTGGAAAAATATCGGAAATCAAAGTGAAAAGGAAGGAGGATGATCAAAGCTTTTAGGAGTGTAGAATTACTGATCAACTTTGACTTTAAAAGTAAACATTTTAAAGGTAATTAAAAAAACAGTGGCTGGGCACAGTGGCTCATGCCTGTAATCCCAGAACTGTGGGAGGCTGAGGTGGGAGGATCACTTGAGCCTAAGAGTTTCAGATCAGTCTGAGAAACAGCAAGACCCTGTCTGTACAAAAAGTTTAAAAAATTAGCCAAGCATGGTGACATACACCGGTAGTCCCAGCTATTTGGGAGGCTGAGTTAGGAGGATCGCTTGAGCCTGGGAAATTGAGGCTGCAGTGAGCCATGATTGTGCCACTGTACTCCAGCCTGGGTGACAGAGTGAGACCCCATCTCAAAAAAAGATAATAAAGAAACAGTGTGCAATTTCCAAGTAAGCAAGTAGAGAAAAGGAAGAAATAGAATAAAAATAACTCAATCTAAATGGTGAGAAAAGAAGTGGGGGAAAAAAGCATAGAAAATTTCAGGGAAACTAGCACAAAATATTATGATAGTACTCTAATAAAAATTATAACAAATATACATGGTCTAAACTTGCTAGTTAAAAGACAGTCGCAAGATGGCTGAATAGGAACAGCTCCGGTCTGCAGATCGCAGCGTGATTGACGAAGAAGACGGGTGATTTCTGCATTTCCAACTGAGGTACCTGGTTCATCTCATTGGGACTGGTTGGACAGTGGGTGCAGCCCATGGAGGGCGAGCCAAAGCAGGGCGGGGCATCACCTCACCCTGGAAGCACAAGGGGTTGGGGGATATCCTTTTCCTAGCCAAGGGAAGCCGTGACAGACTACCTGGAAAAACGGGACACTCCTGCCCAAATACTGCACTTTTCCCAAGGTTTTAGCAACTGGCAGACAAGGAGATGTTCTCCTATGCCTGTCTTGGCAGGTCCCATGCCCACAGAGCCTTGTTCACTGAGCAAGTCTGAGATCAAACTGCAAGGCAGCAGCCTGGTTGGGGAGGGGCGTCTGCCATTGCTGGGGCTTTAGTAGGTAAACATAGTGGCTGGGAAGCTCGAACTGGGTGGAGCCCACTGCAGCTCAATAAGGCCTATTGCTTCTAGACTCCACCTCTGTGGACAGGGCATAGCCGAACAAAAGGTAGCAGTCAATGTCTGCAGACTTAAACATTCCTGTCTGACAGCTCTGAAGAGAGCAGTGGTTCTCCCAGCACAGCATTTGAGCTCTGAGAATGGACAGACTGTCTTCTCAAGTGGGTCCCTGACCCCCGTGTAGCCTAACTGGGAGACACTTCCCAGTAGGGGCTGACAGACAACTCATATAGGCAGTTCCCCCTCTGGGACGAAGCTTCCAGAGGAAGGATCAGGCAGCAATATTTGCTGTTCTGAAGCCTCTGCTGGTGACACCTAGGCAAACAGGTCTGGAGTGGACCTCCAACAAACTCCAACAGACCTGCAGCTGAGGGACCTGACTGTTAGAAGGAAAACTAACAGAAAGGAATAGCATCAACATCAACAAAAATGTCATCTACAGCAAAAACCCATCTGTGGGTCACCAACATCAAAGACCAAAGGTAGATAAAACCACAAAGATGGGGAGAAATCAGAGCAGAAAAGCTGAAAATTCTAAAAACCAGAGTGCCTCTTCTCCTCCAAAGGATTGCAGCTCCTCGCCAGCAACGGAACAAAGCTGGATGGAGAATGACTTTGACAAGTTGACAGAAGTAGGCTTCAGAAGGTTGTTAGTAATAAACTTCTCTGAGCCAAAGGAGGATGTTCAAACCCATCGCAAGGCAGCTAAAAACCTTGAAAAAAGATTAGATGAATGGCTAACTAGAATAAACAGTGTAGAGAAGACCTTAAATGACCTGATGGAGCTGAAAACCATGGCACGAGAACTTTGTGATGCATGCACAAGCTTTAATAGCCGATTTGATCAAGTGGAAGAAAGGGTATCCATGATTGAAGATCAAATTAATGAAATAAAGTGAGAAAACAAGGTTAGAGAAAAAAGAGTAAAAAGAAACGAACAAAGCCTCCAAGAAATATGGGACTATATGAAAAGACCAAATCTACATTTGATTGGTTTATCTGAAAGTGATGAGGAGAATGGAACCAAGATGGAACACACTCTGCAGGATAGTATCCAGCAGAACTTCCCAAACCTAGCAAGGCAGGCCAATATTCAAATTCAGGAAATACAGAGAATGCCACAAAGATATTCCTCGAGAAGAGCAACCCCAAGACACATAATCTTCAGATTCATCAAGGATGAAATGAAGGAAAAAGTGTTAAGGGCAGCCAGAGAGGAAGATCGAGTTACCCACAAAAGGAAGCCCATCAGACTAACAGTGGATCTCTCAGCAGAAACCCTACAAGCCAGAAGAGAGTGGGGGCCAATATTCAACATTCTTAAAAGAATTTTCAACCCAGAATTTAATATCCAGCCAAACAAAGCTTCATAAGTGAAGGAGAAATAGAATCCTTTATAGACAAGCAAATGCTGAGAGATTTTGCCATCACCAGGCCTGCCTTACAAGAGCTCCTTGAAGGAAGCACTAAACATGGAAAGAAACAACTGGTACCAGCCACTGCAAAAACATGCCAAATTGTAAAGACCATTGATGCTATGAAGAAACTGCATCAATTAATGAGCAAAATAATCAGCTAACATCATAATGACAGGATCAAATTCACATATAACAATATTAACCTTAAATGTAAATGGGCTAAATGCCCCAATTAAAAGACACAGACTGGCAAATTGGATAAAGAGTCAAGACCATCAGTGTGTTGTGTGCAGGAGACCCATCTCACATGCAAAGATGCACATAGGCTCAAAATAAAAGGATGGAGGAAGGTCTACCAAGCAAATGGAAAGAAAAAAAAAAAAAAACCAGAGGTTGCAATCCTAGTCTGTGATAAAACACACTTTAAACCAACAAAGATCAAAAGAGACAAAGCCATTACATAATGGTAAAGGGATCAATTCAACAAGAAGAGCTAACCTAAATATATATGCACCCAATACAGGAGCACCCAGATTCATAAAGCAAGCCCTTAGAGACCTACAAAGAGGCTAAGACTCCCACACAATACTAATGGGAGACTTTAACACCCCACTGTCAATATCAGACAGATCAAGACAGAAGGTTAACACGGATATCCAGGAATTGAACTCAGCTCTGCAACAAGCAGACCTAATAGATACCTACAGAACTCTCCATCCCAAATAAACAGAATATACATTCTTCTCAGCACCACATCACACTTATTCTAAAATTGACCACATAATAGGAAGTAAAGCATTCCTCAGCAAATGTAAAAGAACAGAAATCACAACAAACTGTCTCTCAGACCACAGTGCAATCAAATTAGAACTCAGGATTAAGAAACTCAAAACTACACAACTACATGGAAACTTAACAACTTGCTCCTGAATGACGACTGGGTAAATAATGAAATGAAGGCAGAAATAAAGATGTTCTTTGAAACCAATGAGAACAAAGACACAACATACCAGAATCTCTGGGACACAGCTAAAGCAGTGTTTAGAGGGAAATTTATAGCACTAAATGCCCACAAGAGAAAGCAGGAAAGATCTAAAATTGACACCATAACATCACAATTAAAAGGAATAGAGAAGAGCAAACACATTCAAAAGCTAGCAGAAGGCAAGAAATAACTAAGATCAGAGCAGAACTGAAAGAGACAGAGACATAAAAAAACCCTTCAAAAAAATCAATCCAGGAGCTGGTTTTTTGAAAAGATCAACAAAATTGACAGACTGCTAGCAAGACTAATAAAGAAGAAAAGAGAGAAGAATCAAATAGACGCAATAAAAAATGATAAAGGAGATATCACCACCGATCCCACAGAAATACAAACTACCATCAGAGAATACCAGAAACACCTCTATACAAATAAACTAGAAAATCTAGAAGAAATGGATAAATTCCTCGACACATACACCCTACCAGGACTAAACCAGGAAGAAGTTGAATCTCTGAATAGACCAATAACAGGCTCTGAAATTGAGGCAATAATTAATAGCCTACCAACCAAAAAAAGTCCAGGACCAGACAGATTCACAGCCGAATTTTACCAGAGGTACAAAGAGGAGCTAGTACCATTCCTTCTGAAACTATTCCAATCAATAGACAAAGAGGGAATCCTCCCTAACTCATTTTATGAGGCCAACATCATCCTGATACCAAAGCCTGGCAGAGACACAACAAAAAAGAATTTTAGATCAATATCCCTGATGAACATTGATGTGAAAATCCTCAATAAAATACTGGCAAACCGAATCCAGCAGCACATCAAAAGCTTATCCACCATAATCAAGTGGACTTCATCCCTGGGATGCAAGGCTGGTTCAACATATGCAAATCAATAAATGTAATCCTTCATATAAACAGAACCAATGATAAAAACGACATGATTATCTCAATAGATGCAGAAAAGGCCTTTGACAAAATTCAACAGATCTTCATGCTAAAAACTCTCAATAAACTAGGTATTGATGGGACGTATCTCAAAATAATAGCTATTTGTGACAAACCCACAGCCAATATACTGAATGGGCAAAAACTGGAAGCATTCCCTTGAAAACCGGAACAAGACAAGGATGCCCTCTCTCACCACTCCTATTCAACATAGTGTTGGAAGCTCTGGCCAGGGAAATCAGGCAAGAGAAAGAAAGGGTATTCAGTTAGGAAATGAGGAAGTCATATTTTCCCTGTTTGCAGATGACATGATTGTATATTTAGAAAACCCCGTCGTCTCAGCCCAAAATCTCCTTAAGAGATAAACAACTTCAGCAAAGTCTCAGGATACAAAATCAATGTGCAAAAATCACTAGCATTCCTACACACCATTAACAGACAGAGAGCCAAATCAAGAGTGAACTCCCATTCACAATTGCTTCAAAGAGAATAAAATACCTAGGAATCCAACTTACAAGGGATGTAAAGGACCTCTTCAAGGAGAACTAGAAACCACTGCTCAACTAAATAAAAGAGGATACAAATAAATGGAAGAATATTCCATGCTCATGGATACGAAGAATCAATGTTGGGAAAATGGTCATACTGCCCAAAGTAATTCATAGATTCAATGCCATCCCCATCAAGCTACCAATGACTTTCTTCACAGAATTGGAAAAAACTACTTTAAAGTTCACGTGGAACCAAAAAAGAGCCTGCATTGCCAAGACAATCCTAAGCAAAAAGAACAAAGCTGGAGGCATCACGCTACCTGACTTCAAACTATACTACAAGGCTACAGTAACCAAAACGGCATGGCACTGGTACCAAAACAGATATATAGACCAATAGAACAGAACAGAGGCCTCAGAAATAACACCACACATCTACAACCATCTGATCTTTGAGAAACCTAACAAAAACAAGCAATGGGGAAAGGATTCTCTACTTAATAAATGGTGCTGGGAAAACTGGCTAGCCATATGTAGAAAGCTGAAACTGGATCCCTTCCTTACATCTTATACAAAAAATTAATTCAAGATGGATTAAAGACTTAAATGTTAGACCTAAAACCATAAAAACCCTAGAAGAAAACCTAGGCAATACCATTCAGGACATAGGCATGGGCAAGGACTTCAGGACTAAAACACCAAAAGCAATGGCAACAAAAGCCAAAATAGACAAATGGGATCTAATTAAACTAAAGAGCTTCTGCACAGCAAAAGAAACTACCATCAGAGTGAAGAGGCAACCTACAGAATGGGAGAAAATTTTTGCAATCTACTCATCTGACAAAGGGCTAATATCCAGAATCTACAAAGAACTCAAAACCCATCCAAAAGTCGGCGAAGGATATGAACAGACACTTCTCAAAAGAAGACATCTATGCTGCCAACAGACACATGAAAAAAATGCTCATTATCGCTGGTCATCAGAGAAATGCAAATCAAAACCACACTGAGATACCATCTCATGCCAGTTAGAATGGCAATCATTAAAAAGTCAGGAAACAACATATGCTGGAGAGGATATGGAGAAATAGGAAAGCTTTTAATTGTTGGTGGGAGTGTAAATTCGTTCAACCATTGTGGAAGACAATGTGGCAATTCCTCAAGGATCTAGAACAAGAATTGCCATTTGACCCAGTAATCCAATTATTGGGTATATACCCAAAGGATTATAAATCATGCTACCATAAAGACACATGCACCTGTATGTTTATTGCAGTACTATTCACAATAGCAAAGACTTGGAACGAACCCAAATGTCCATCAGTGATAGACTAGATACAGAAAATGTGGCACATAATACACCATGGAACACTATGCAGCCATAAAAAAGGATGAGTTCATGTCCTTTGCAGGGACATGGATGAAGCTGGAAACCATCATTCTCAGCAAACTATCACAAGGACAGAAAACCAAACACTGCATGTTCTCACATATAGGTGGGAATTGAATAATGAGATCACTTGAACACAGGGCGGGGAACATCACACACTGGGGCCTGTTGGTGTGTGGGGGGCTAGGGGAGGAATAGCATTAGGAGACATACTTAATGTAAATGATGAATTGATGGGTGCAGCAAACCAACATGGCACAAGTGTACCTATGTATCAAACCTGCACATTGTGCACATGTACCCTAGATCTTAAAGTATATTTAAAAAAAAACCAGTAATTGGATTATAGGAAACCCAAATGTAGTCTGCTTATGAGGGACACATTTAAAACACAGGGACTCAGGAAGGTTGAAAGGAAAAAATGCAAAACAATACATTGGGTAGGTTTCAACCATAAGGAAGCTTTTGTTGGTAAATTATTAGGTAAAATAGTTTTTAGGGCAGAAAGGATTTTCAGAGTTAAAGAGATAAAATGGTCTTTCTCTACCTCCATAATAAAGTCTCACTTCACTAGAAAGAGATAACATTTCTAACTTGTATATGTCTAATAAAATATTCAGAGATAAAATTTACATGCTAATGAGAAATTGACAAATCCATAATTGTTGAGGGAGATCTGAATACGATACTGTCAGTAATTGATAGACGAAGGAAACAAAAATTCATTAAGGATATAGAAAATTACAACAACATAATTAACAGCCTTGATCTATTGGAGACACACATACACATGCATGCACACACACAGACTTGCACTCACCAATTAGAAAATACATATTTTTTCTCAAACAACATGGAATATTGAAAAGAAAATTGTTGCAAAGTATTAAGAAACCAATTCCAGCAATCCATTAGAAAGTGCATCAAGACAGTTAAATTTATCTTGATAAATTTAGGAAGTAAGACTGTATGAGCATCTCAATAAAAGCAAAGAGGCATCTGATAAAATTGAGTATCCATGATAAAAATTCTCAGTGAAGTAGGAATAGAAAGAATTTTATTAAGTTTGTGAAATATATTGATAAAAAGCTTTTATAGTACATACATAATGGTGAAATGTTAGACATTCCCTTTAAAATTAGAAATGAGCAAAAAATGCCCTCTGCTTTAAGATTGTATGGAGGGGCCTAGTCAATGGATTAAAATGAGATAAAGAAATATAATGTTTATGCATCACAAAGGAAGAAATGAAATTGTTATTCTCAGATGATATGTTTTACAGCATAGAAAACCCAAGAGCATCTATAGTAAAATTATTAGAGTTAATAAGAGCTCAGCAAGCTTACTGGCTATTAGATCAATATAAAAAATTGAATTCCTTATTCATCAGGAACAAACAGTGACAATCTATAAAAATATAAAAAGAGGTGCCCTTTACAATGTGGCAACTGCAAAAATGGCTCCTAGAAATAAATCTAACAAAATCTGTACATGAAGTGTATGGTAAAAATTACAAAACTTTAATGAATGACCTTTTAAAAAACCTAAACAAATGAAAAGATATACCACATTTGTAAATAAGTAGACTCGATATCATAAAGACATTAACATTCCTAAATTCAATGCAATTTCAATAAAAATTCCAAAATGTTTTCCTATAGTACTTGAAAACAAGGATTATAAAATAGTCATAGGGGAGCAAAGGATTGAGAAATAACCAAGACAATTTTGAAGAACAGGGTGGCAGAAATCATCCACTTGTCCAAATTGTTCAAGTTTGGAATATATATTTGTGTATGTATACATAGCTATCAAGACTAATTATAAAGCTATAGCAATTAAGATGATGTAGTACTATTGTAGAGAAAAAAATTTGACCAACAAGAGAGGTTAAAGAATCCAGGAAACACATATGTGGAGCTTAACAAATTATAGCGCTGTGTTTTGCTAAAGAGGAAGGAGGTACTGAGACAGGTGGTTAACCCAATAGAAAAAAAAATCTGTCTCACATCATTCCAGGGAGACAGAATTCCTAAGTATAAAAACTAAAATGTTAGGCCATCAGGAGAAACAACAGAGATGGTGAATATCTTGTGTATATAAGGAAGTATTTCTCAAGAAAAAAAGGATGAACTGTAAAGGAAAAGATAAACAAATTTGATACATTAAAATGTAAAACTTCAATACATCAGTAAACACTGTAGGAACAAAGTAGACAAGTCACAAGCTTGAAGAATAGTGTGTTTAACAAAGGAGGAATATTTAGGACATGTAAAAATTTCACTTCAACAGGAAAAAAAGAAACAATGTAATAGAAAATTAGAATATAAACACAATTTATAAAAGGAGAAATCTGGAATGGCCAATAAGCAGATGAAAAGATCTTTAAACTCACTAGCATTTGAGGAAATATCCCAAATACTGCAATAGAAAGCATTTAACAAATACCTTGAAACTGTGATAGATACCATTTCATATCTATCAGATGTCCAAAAATTTAAAAGTCTGAAAATGTCAAGAATTAGAAAGATGTGAAACAACAGGAATTCAAAAGCTGATAAAAGTGTGAAAATGTACACTTAAGAGCAATTTGGCAATATCTAGCAAAACTGCAGATGTTCCCATCTTACAACCCAGCAGTGCCACTTCCTGGGTACACATCCTGAAGAAACTAGCACATGTACTTAGGGAGGTACGGCACTCTCTGGTCTGCTCCTGGTTACCTCCCTGATGCCGTTGTCTGCCATTTTTCCTCCTCGTCTGTTTTAGCCACACTGGCCTCCTTGTTTCTAGGACACACCTGGCACATTTCTACCTCTGGGCATTTGCACTGGCTGTTTATTCTGCCTGGAATGCTCTTCCTTAAGGTGCACCCTAGACATCTTCTTATTCCTTTCCAGTTTTTACTTGAATGTCAACTGTCATTGAGGTCTTCCTTGCTCCTTTATTCTGTATTCCCTTCCCAATTTCACTTTCTTTTACATTAGCACTTATCATTAACATAATGTACATTCTATTTATTTTCTTATTTATGTATGTAGATTTATGTAGATAAATGAACTTACACTCATAAAGGCAGGGTTTTGGTTTATTTTTGTTTACTGCAGTGTCCTGGTACCTAGAACAATACCTGGTCCACAGTAGTTGCTCATTAAATATTTGTTATATGAATAAATGTGCATAAAATGTTTATGACAGCATTGTTTGTAATCTTTTCACCTTTGTGAAATAAAGCAGGACAAATAACATTCTTATTTGTGCACTGAGAGGAAACTGAGACACAGAGAGGTGAGGAACTTCCCTAAATTCACAGGACAGGTGTCCAGCTGAGTGTCAAGTATATAAGGCAGCCCTGTCTCTGACTTGTATAAATTCTACATTGCAATGTTTTAGTTAAAAAAATGTTAGAATGGAAAATCAGCTTATTCTCTTAAATATTATGTAATCTCCTAGAACATGTATTACTTTGGAGATAATTTTTCCATTTATTTCATAAATAAGAATTACTTCAAGCCAAATTGAATGCAAAAGTTCTCAGTCATGTTTGCCCTGACATATATAGAGTAAGTGATTATCCTACTGTGAATTTTAGTAGTGAGAATTTAAGTAGTAAGATGTTCATTATATGAGGCATGTGAAGAATGCTGGGAATATAAATGTTGTACATTACATGCATTTACTGTAATCACATAATATAATATCATTTTATCTAAAAGGACTTTCTATTCTACTTTGTTTAAAGCCTAAAATGAAGGAAAGAAAAAATGTATTTAAGAGAATACAATCCAGCTTTTCCTTACAAAATGCAGAGGCCTGCATATTCCACAAAAAAACATCTGGCTATTAGTGTTAATGGAACTTATGAGCACATGTAAACACAAAGAAGTTTCCTTAGTGTAAAAACATTTAAGAACAGTCCATCCTGTATCCATAACTGTTCTCTCTCCTTGTGGAGAAGGAGAGAAGTGTGGAGAGAAAAACAGAATTGACATGCTGCCACTAGGGCAGGAAATAGAAACAGGGATGGATAGAAACATAGGAGATGCGCCAAAACCCCAGGCAGAAGTCCAGAGTCAGGTGTTCATATCATAACAAACATCTAAAGCTGTAGTCTTCAAGGAAGGTGGAAAATGGGGCTGATGAGTTGAAGAAAATGCTAAAGACTTAGTATAATGTTCTTGTTTACAAGAGACTTATGGCTGATTATGAGCACATCATGTAGACAAATAAAAATGACTTTCGTGTTCACTAGATGGGGTTAATGAGATAAAGTAAGCTATGCTAACTAAGCAGGTTTTAGGATTTGGAGTGGATGGCTCCCTACCTATGAGCTGAGCACTGGGAGTCAGGTGTGACATGGCTGTCCACCAGGCTTGGCATCAACATTGACTGCCATATGATTGACCATCAAAGAACTCTAGCTTGAGATAATTTTAAAAAAACAACATTGCATGTTTGTAAAACTATTTGAAATGATCTTCTAAAGCTAAGCACATGCACATACATGATCCAGCAATTCTACTCCTAGATATATACTGAAGAGGAAAATGTTCTTCTGTTCTCCAAAAGACATATGTGAGAGTATTCATGTCAGCACTATTCACAATAGCCCCAAACTGGAAATAAACCAAATGTCCATCAAAATTCAAATGAACAGGAATAATCATTCAATGGGATATTACACAGCAACAAAAATGAACAAAGTACTGCCATATGAAACAACAATGGATTAATCTTAAAATCATAATGTTGAGTGAAAGCCAGATATAAAAGAGTATACGCTGTACAGGCAAAAATAATCTACAGTGTTAAAATTCAAGATAATGGGCTGGCCACAGTGGCTCACAACTGTAATCCCAGCACTTTGGGAGGCCACGGCGGGTGGATCACCTGAGGTTGGGAGTTTGAGACTAGCCTGATCAACATGGAGAAACCCTGTCTCTACTGAAAATTCAAAATTAGCCAGGCATGGTGGCGCATGTCTGTAATCCCAGCTACTCAGGAGGCTGAGGCAGGAGAATCACTTGAACTCGGGAGGCAGAGGTTGCAGTGAGCTGAGATTGTGCCATTGCACTCCAGCCTGGGCAATAAGAGTGAAACTCCGTCTAAAAAAAAAAAAATCAAGATAACGGTTCCTCTTGGTAGAGGTAGGAGGAAAGTACCCAAAATGGAGCATGGGGAGAGCTGCTGCGTTGCTGGTCATGCTCTTGATCTGGATTTTGCTTTGTGAAATTCCTCCAGCTGTACACTTAGGACTTATGCACTTGTCTGTGTGTGCATTATCCCCCAATAAAATATTTACATTCACAATGTAACACATAGGCAAGTATATGTGAGTGCAGGGTACAGAAGTTTGACAAAATGAATTTTAGGGTGGGACTGATAAAGGAAAATTTGTTGAAGAAAGTAAAGTTTTAGTTGAGCATTGAGATTAGGAAAGTGCATGATTTGGCTGAGAAATGTGAGTGGCATAAAGGAGATAAAAATAAGAGTCTTGTATGTTAGGAACGGGAGAATGGGGCAGGCAGAAGGCAGTAAGTGCTTTGTTGAAGCAGAAATCCATTGAAGATACATAAAGAGAAGGTACGTTCTCATGTAAGAGATATGTGAGAGGACATTTAGATTTTGATATGCAATAGAGGATTGCTGTTTTTCCTTCTACTTTTTTTTTCTTTTTTGAGACAGGGTCTCACTCTGTCCCTCAAGCTGGAGTTCAGTGTGCTATCATAGCTCACTATAACCTTGAAGTCATTGGCTAAAGTGATTCTGTTGCCTTAGCCTCAGAGTAGCTGGGACTGCGGGTGTGCACCACCATGCCTGGCTGTTTTCATTTTTTGTAGAGACAGGTTTTAACTATGCTGCTCAGGATGGTCTTGAACTCTGGGGCTCACATGATCCTCCTGCCTTGGCCTTCCAAAGTGCTGGGATTACAGGCATGGGCCACCACACCTGGCCTCCTTTAGTAATTTTTAATTTAAAAAAATAATTATATATGTAGCATATATTACCTGTATTTATACATAAATTTATAAAACATATAAATCTAGGTATATCTAGGTATTTATTATATTTGTACATAAATATAACTATAGGTTATATAGATGGTATCTGTTCTCTCATCATGGAAAATTTTTTAAAATAGTAAAGTATATAAAAAGAAAATGACTTTTAACTCCATTCCTCTTACGTAACATTGTGGCAGCCTCCAAGTGTCTATATTGAGAATTGTGGAGACATAATTGAGGATTAATATTAATCACATGGAGGGATAATATTAAAGAAATGTAAGTATTACATTCATAGGGGTCTGATCTTCAAGCTTTGTATGCTTCCCAACTCCAACTTGCTGCCAGGGAGCTGACGTTCTCTGAAGAATGGCATCTGCAGATGCAGTCCTCTTTTTCTTTTTCCTCTCTCCTGACTGAGTTGTAATATCTCTACTAAAACAGACATATCTAAAGATGTCAAACACAGTTATAACCCCCACCCTTTCAAAATAAGTTTCCATGAGAAAGGTAAAGAATATTTGTCCTTTCCTATATGTTTTGTCAAATCTAGAATTTAGGATTTTAGAAGTTTGTCATGGAGAGCAAAGGATTTTGGCCACAATTTAGCTGAAATATCAAAGATTGGGTTGAGGTCACAGAACAAGATAAGAGACCTCCTAGGAAAAAAAAAGTAAAAATTGCACCAATTGTGGCACCCAGTTCATTAATTTTATCTCCTTAAGTATAATTTTCATACTTGTCTCCCATGTGGTTGCTTCTGGGAGAGGATGAATTGGGAAAAGACTTGTGAAGTCACTGAGAGTTGGCAACTTACAAAAACTTTATGGAAGTCCCTCCTGGGCACGGACTAGGGCATTACTTAACTCTTGTAGCTTGGGATACAGCTAAATGTAGCCAACAAAATCTGGACACTTAAAGGTCTCTGTCTTGATCGATTGTGCCACAGAAACCAGAAGGCGTAGTGTCAAAGGATCCTGGTAGCTGAGGCAAATTTACTTCACCCTCAGTTGTTTCTACACTCAGCTGATAGGTAGCCAGTTGGTACCTCCCTCCCTGAAGAACATTAGCTCTAAAGTTCTCGAGGCTGCCTCCTTGGAAAGGACATTAACCCACAGTGGAGGTGGGACAATCTTCTGGAACATAACTTGGTTACAAACTATACTTTCCTCAGCAGTGAGTATCTTAGAAATACCTTGCTCATCAAGGATAATTGTTTATTAGTTAGATTTAAATTCTTTAATGAAAGTGGAATTTGGCATATGTTGATGAAAACAGAGGAAGTAAATAATCCAAGGGCATAGTGGTGGTTAGTCCGTGAACTGAAAACGAGCAAAGGATTGAGAGAATTTAGGGTTGGTTCAAAGGGCATAAACTAGGAATTACAAAGCCTGCTTAAGGAGCATTCAGAGGCTTAAAGGTAACATTCTGAACTCTACCTCAGGAAATGCAAGGAAAGCACTTGTATATCCTTGTATGCTTAGTTCAAGGGTATTTGATGCACATGTGGTTTGTTGAAAATAATTCCTTCTGCTTTTCACAAATATAAAGCTCAAGTTTACTCTAAGGAAACAATTACTGGGAAAGGTAAAACCACTGCAGGAGAAGGGAAAGGACCTGCTATTCTCATATCAACTCATTAAATAATGGCAGAATTCTATTGCTCCAGAGGGGTTAATTTGTCCCTTTGTTTGACTGAACAGTTGCTGGGATCCCCTGGGTGGTTCAGAAAAGTGTGTCTTAAACCACCATCTACTTAAGTCCATTAAAATTGATGTGTCCTTCACACAAACTCATGCCTAGAGCCCTACATTTACAAATAAAATGTGGATTATTTGCATCATGAAAGAATTCTTTACACCGAGAAAAACTACAAGATTTCTTTAAATAGCAAATTACCCTGGTGTGTTTTACAACACAATTTCATGTACAATAATTTGATCTACGTGCAATTTTTCTAGGAGCATATCTTTAAGGTCAAGAGCAGAATGTCTGTATATTCATGACAGTTAACTGATATGGCTAAATGTCCCAGCACATTATATATTGGCATCTGATGAATTATTGGAATAGCAACTTCCTGACCACTGCAAGGTGTTTAAGAAAGATCCCAGTCTCATGGGACAGCTTTTATTTTACCTGTTGATTCAGTGGAGGAAAACCCAGTGGGGTGGGGGAAAAGTAAATTTTTCATTAGCCTCTTATAAAAGAGGTATTCTCCTGATTAGCTTCTGTACTGACTGGCTAAGCATAGTTATTCTGAGATTCTCCCTCACTGTAATCCTTGTGGACATTCTTCACTTAAAAGTGACAATCATAAAAATAATGACCCTAGTCTGATAATCATTAATACTAGACTCAATTAGACACTGTGTAAGAATACACTTTACAAAGAATAGAGCTATACAAATATCATAAAAAACACTGAATCTGGTGTGCTGTGTGTATAAACGTCAGGATTATTTCTGTTTCTGAAATACAGCACCAAAAATAAGTCTTCAACAGAAAAATGCTTTCCAGAGTATCAAACTCCAATTTAATAATTAAAAAAGGGAAGCCCATAGGTTCATTAACGAAAAAGCTGATGGAATGTTACAAGATTCACACACCATCGCAGAGCTGTCCTGTGATGAGCATGACTGAATTCTACTTCCATCTGCTCGGAGCACCCCATGAGCAAGCAACAAGCCCAGTGGTGCTGCAGGCCTCTCAGTATTGTGAGCACAGCTCATCAGCAGGAAAAATCATTAAGCAGCAGGAAAGAGAAACAAAAAGGGTAATAAGTGAAGGGGGGCAACTTGAGAGTGATGGGGGAGAATGGAAGGGGTGGGAATTTACATGAAGAAATGGCAAGTCCAATGATGGGAATAAAACATGAAATGATGCGTGGAAAAAGAGACATGGGGAGGGGCTGTAGGGGACTTAGCAAAGAGAATCCAGAAAGAAACTTAACTCAGTGGGATAAGGAGGAAGAATGATACCAGCTATTAGAAAACCCAAACAAAGACCACTGCAAAGATCACGTGTTGGACATAAAGATGCCACAGGGGTCAAAAACTTTCCATTTAATTTGCAAAACAATGGGTCGGAAAGCCACATCCTGCAGGCAGTTGCCATTTTAGCAGTCAGATTCACTCTCGTAAGCCATTAGGTACCATTCCTGAGCACAATTCAATAGTAACTCCCTACTCAGCTTCCCACTGACTTACAAGAAGAATCATAAGCCTTCCATAATTCTTAACTTACACACAGGAGTGGCAAGATGTAGTTATCGTATTTACATTTTTTCTAGGATATTAATATTATTGATAAGGAAGAATAATTGGCCGAAAAGAGCTTGTTAGTAGTAACAAAATCTGTTCTCTTTTTGTTCTGTGTTCTGAGACCAGTAATCACATGACTATATTCAGAAATTGAAGAACTTCCTTGACCCTTCATTATGAGACAAATGAAATTGCTGATTTATCAGGCAGAGACAATGTGTACTTTATTTCTTATCTAGGCTATTAGGTATGAATAAGCAGGAGAGGAAGATGACTTATGCAATAGAATAATTCTTATTTATCTACAATAATCAGTCATTTAAGAATGTTAACTTTTTGTTGGGTTGAAGCCAAATGTCCCTAAAATTTGGCCAACTACAAAGGTTCATCACTAAAGCCATTATTTGCACAACTCTGTCAAGCATGAAAATACTCTCATCTAGGAAAAAAAATCAGAGCTGATGACTCTGGCAGAGATTGAAGGGTGGGAATTGACTGCAAAAGGGCATGAGGGAACTCTCTGGGAATATGATAATGCTAGAGAGAATCTAATGTAATATATAATACTGTATTTTAATAGGAGTTAGGATCACACTGATTATGTATTTCTCAGAACTCAGCAGATGAAAGAAACTTAGCAGATATACACTTAAGATTTGTATATTACATGTAAATTTTGCATTAAAATCTATAAGCAAATGTTCTAGCTAATATACATACTAAAGTATTTCGGGGGAAGTTATGATGTTTGGATTTTGAAATGCATACAACAATGACTTGATGGCTAGACAGATTTGTGGCAAAGCAAGCATAGTAATATACTGATTATATAATTCAGATGGTGGATACATGTTGTATGTTTAAAATTTTTCATAATAAAATGTTGGGATAAAAATATGGAAAAATAGCTCACCTTGAAAATGACTGTACTGAAGATAACTCTGTATACTAATGGGAAAGAAATTTGAGCTAAGACCTGGGCTTTGAATGCAAATTAGAGACCCAAGCAGCCTTTCTCTATCTGTGCAGAGTTGGGTCTCTAACTCTTGAGAAGTCACTTCTGTTCTGAGAGAGAAACTTCTTTTTAAAAAATGTACTGAGCACTTGGCTATCCCAATCCATCTTGTCCCCATTCCATTCTTCTGTTCTTTTGGGACATTCCTTTGTTCATTCCTTCTGGGAATGGCACTGAGCTGAAGGGGCAACATAAGACATTGGATTTTGATTCTTTTTTAAAAGAAAACTTTTTAAAGATAGGGTCTCATATGTTGCCCAGGCTCATCTTGAACTCCTGGGCTCATTACTATATTTATAAAAAGTGTGTGGGTGTCATAGTTATAGATAATACAGAGTCATAAGGAAAGGAATGGGGTAGTTTCTGCTCTTAATGGGATTACAATGGAGACAGGGGAGGTGGGGTAGCAAATAAGACTGAATGACCTAATAACCAACTAGCTGATAGAAAATGCTTTCTCATATACACTCTGCTGCTATTATAGCATTTGTGGAGTCAAGGAGCTTGGAAAGTGAGCTAGTAAGGGGCTACCGATGAGACTCTGGTGTGAGCAAAGGTGCCCACTTCCAGATTAACTTCTGGGCTCCTTCTCTTTCCCAAGTCCTTAGTCCATAACTCCCCTTCTTGGCACTTTTCCTCCAGCTCCATGGATTTATTATTTTTCTTTCCTCCGTAATCCTCGAATTCTTCTTTCACCAACTAGGACACCAAGTTAGATGTGCTCTCCCCAGATTCTCTTATTGTCCTGGAAAACCCAGTAGAAATCTCTCCTGGATTCTCTTATTGTCTCTTATTGTCCTAGAAGAAGCAGGTTGCTGCTTCTTGTTTCCCTGCTTCTTCTTGTTTCCAGGACAATAAGCAAGAGAATATCTTATCTATTGCCAGAAATGCAAATAAAAATAGGTAATAAGCATGAAAAAGCTACAAAAGTTTAAGAAGTCACACATCTTCTTTAGGCCAAAGTTCCTGATGCATACTTCCCGTTTTTCTCTCTAGCTGGTATTTAGGAACCATGGAGATATACCTTCCAGTTTTATTCTTGAAAGAGTTCCTCAAACCCCCTTATGGCTTTTGATGCTTGTCTTCTGACTCTTGATACCTGGTTCCACAGGCACCTTCCTACATGAGCATCCCAGATGAAGATTCAGAGCTTACAATGAGCATCCCATTTAGGCTCAACATTGTTCTTGAATGGGGCGGGGAATTTATATCTTGCGGATCCTTCTCTGGCCAGTGATTCCCTTCATAACAGCCTTCGTATCTTACCCAGGAACTGCGTCCTTATACTTTTTCACTTGGAAAACTCGTTTGCACGAAAGACCTGGATGGGATTTGCCTTATTTTTCTAACTGATTTTAATCTTGTTTTGAGGAAAGTTTAGTTTATACCTTTTTCCTAGAGAAGAGACTATTTGCTATGATTTATTTTTCTTCTTAACTCTTAGAAGCATATTACTGCAGCTCAGAACAAAGGGGATATATTAAGGGGGCTATTTTAAGGGATCGAATTTTCAGCTTCCAGTTTAATCTGCATGTGAATTTTGATTATTTTTTAAAAGAAAACTTTTTAAAGATAGTGTCTCACTATGTTGCCCAGGCTTATCTTGAACTCTTGGGCTCAAGCAGTCCTCCCACCTTGGCCTCCCAACACGATGGGATTACAAGTGCGAGCCAGCATGCCCAGCCAAAATTTTGATTCTTAAATACCCGCTATTCCAGTATTATAACTAAGTAACATTATTGTTTTCCGAATGAGCCAATGACTATTCCATTTTTTCCTAGTCCTTCTATGGATTATGAAATAAGGCCAACAAATAGGATCATTTCTTAGAAGAATGAAAAGACATAGTAGGAGTCAATATCATGGGTTTTCTAAGACTAATTCTTATTTACAAACATTTTTCTCTTTAAAAATACAATTATAAAATGAGCATGAAATGTAGTTGAATTTTTATACCCTTATAAGAGTGATTACATAAGTACAATTTAAGAATCTTTTTTTTGGGAGGCTGAGGCAGGCAGATCATGAGGTCAGGAGATCGAGACCATCCTGGCTAACATGGTGAAACCTCGTCTCTACTAAAAATACAAAAAATTAGCCGGGCGTGGTGGCGGATGCATGCAGTCCCAGCTACTTGGGAGGCTGAGGCAGGAGAATGGCGTGAACCCGGGAGGCGGAGCTTGTGGTGAGCCGAGATCGTGCCACTGCACTCTAGTCTGGGCGGCAGAGCAAGACTCTATCTCCAAAAAAAAAAAATCTTTTTTTTTTAAATTTTTTTATTTTTTATTTTATTTTATTATTATTATACTTCAAGTTTTAGGGTGCATGTGCACAATGTGCAGGTTTGTTACATATGTATACATGTGCCATGCTGGTGTGCTGCACCATTAACTCGTCATTTAGCATTAGGTATATCTCCTAATGCTATCCCTCCCCCCTCCCCCCACCCCACAACAGTCCCCAGAGTGTGATGTTCCCCTTCCTGTGTCCATGTGTTCTCATTGTTCAATTCCCACCTATGAGTGAGAACAAGCGGTGTTTGGTTTTTTGTCCTTGCGATAGTTTACTGAGAATTATGATTTCCAATTTCATCCATGTCCCTACAAAGGACATGAACTCATCCTTTTTTATGGCTGCATAGTGTTCCATGGTGTATATGTGCCACATTTTCTTAATCCAGTCTATCATTGTTGGACATTTGGGTTGGTTCCAAGTCTTTGCTATTGTGAATGGTGCCACAATAAACATATGTGTGCATGTGTCTTTATAGCAGCATGATTTATAATCCTTTGGGTATATACCCAGTAATGGGATGGCTGGGTCAAATGGTATTTCTAGTTCTAGATCCCTGAGGAATCGCCACACTGACTTCCACAATGGTTGAACTAGTTTACAGTCCCACTAACAGTGTAAAAGTGTTCCTATTTCTCCACATCCTCTCCAGCACCTGTTGTTTCCTGACTTTTTAATGATTGCCATTCTAACTGGTGTGAGATGGTATCTCATTGTGGTTTTGACTTGCATTTCTCTGATGGCCAGTGATGGTGAGCATTTTTTCATGTGTTTTTTGGCTGCATAAATGTCTTCTTTTGAGAAGTGTCTGTTCATGTCCTTTGCCCACTTTTTGATGTGGTTGTTTGTTTTTTTCTTGTAAATTTGTTTAAATTCTGGGATACATGTGCAGAACATGTAAGTTTGTTACATAGGTATACACGTGCCATTGTGGTTTGCTGCACCCATCAACCTGTCATCTACATTAGGTATTTCTCCTAATGCTATCCCTCCCCTAGCCCTCCACCCCTCAACAGGCCCCAGTGTGTGATGTTCCCCTCCCTGTGTCCATGTGTTAAGAACAATTTTAAAGGAAATTCTTTGCCATAACACATGTCCTAAATTTTGGTTTGGAAAACACAGTCACCATAGAGATAGAAACATGTGTCCAAGATTACAGCAACATGCTCTTAGTTTTCTAATTTGAAACACAACAAAGTTTTTAGTACACTTATTTCTTATTATAAAGATGGTTATGAATGTCTGGTGAATTCATGCCCTTTAATAGAGAATGAAAGTCAAATTTAAAAAATCATACCTGACTCCCACTCCCAGTATATTCATACATGCAAAACACACACACACAAGAGAGAGAGAGAATTTGCTCATCAAGAAAGAGCAGTTAGATGGGTTACAAATTACCCAATATAATTTGTACCAAATGACATTTAGCTTTGCAGAATGCTCAGTTCCCACATACTGTGACCATTAGAAAACCACTCAGTAGTTTTAAGAAGTAGATGCTTTCAGCTCTGAACCCTGTGTAACAAAAGCCAAAAGTAAAAAGAAAATGTATCTAGGGCCAAATAACAGTAAGTCTAATGACCACAAAGACCATTAGGAAATGAGCAAACAAAATTAATTCTCAGTGGGAGTTTCAGGCTCTCCAAGCACATATTCTAAGTTTCATTAACCTCCTACCACAACCAGGGCCAGAGTCACTATTAATACTGGATCCTCCTTGTATCTTTTGGTAGTCAGAGAGGGGAATTAGCCCTACTCATGAACCTAGATAGAAAGATGGTAATATAATACAATCTGGAATCCATCTATTTGAGCTTTTGACTTAAAGCAAGTGTAAGGAAAGACCAATTATGCAGAGATTAAATGCCAATTTTTAAAAAATTAATATGTGTGTGTGGTGCTGGTATCAGTTTTACTTTTATTCTCCCTTTTCATTAGACAATGTATCCATGTCATTTTGGGTGTCTTCCTTTTCCTCTCCCATCCTAAGACTGCAGTCTCCTTGTGGCTTAATAAACAAACTGGAGGTGGAAGCATATAGGAGAAAGTGGGCTTAGTAGTATTTGCCACAGCAACTTGGGAAATAACTGGATATGCCCTAGCTACAAAGGTGTTAGAGGAACTAAAAGAGCAAGCAGGAAACACAAGGCAGCCCAGAGATGAGCAACTCCAGGAAGCCAGAGCCACTATCTTAGGGTTAGAGATACAAAGGAAAGAAGGGGCATCAAAGCCTGGAGCAGGGACCACTCAGAAGAAGCTAGAACCATAGTGAATCTACCTGGAGAAAGCTGGAGCCACGGAGGGAAGAAGCTGTTGATAGAAAAGCTATCAAAGCATGGTGAGAGGGGGAGAAATACCATGGCTTCTTACTTCCTTTTGCATCCTATCTCCTTCTAGTATCTCCCATTGACTAAACCTAGCTAGAAGCCAGTTGGCAAAGGAGCCTTGTTAATACGATTTTTAAGCCTCGGCACCCTAGCAAAGCAGGGGAAGGTAGGAATGTATCTAAGGCCAAAAAGACAAATAGCACAAAAGTGCTGGTGAGTCCCTTTTCTCTTTCCACTGCCCTCACTTAAAGCCCCAGTTTATATAAAACTCTTCCATGCATACATATATTAGGGAGACAGGCAGAGTACATGAAATTTCATGGCTAACTTTCTGCATTTCTATGGCATCCAGTTTTCATTCAGAACAGCACAATCAGGATACAGTAGATGTGATGAATTCTAAGAAACCAATTGCTTTAAAAATACTGACCGGGCGAGGTGGCTCACGCCTGTAATCCCAGCACTTTGGGAAGCCAAGGCGGGCGGATCACGAGGTCAGGAGTCCGAGACCACCCCGGCTAACACGGTGGCACCCCGTCTCTACTAAAAATACACACACACACACACACATACACAAACACACACACACACACACACACACACACACACACACACACACACACACACACGTAGCTGGGCGTGGTGTCAGGAGCCTGTAGTCCCAGCTACTCAGGAGGCTGAGGCAGAAGAATGGCGTGAACCCAGGAGGCTGAGGTTGCAGTGAGCTGAGATTGCACCACTGCACTCCAGCCTGGGCGACAGAGTGAGACTCCGTCTCAAAAAACAAAAAACCAACAAACAAAAATATCTATAAAATTACTGGCTGGGCGCAGTGGCTCACACCTGTAATCCCAATACAGTGGGAAAGACCAAAGTGGGAGGATCTCTTGAGCCCAAATTTGTGGTTGCAGTGAGCTATGACCATGCCACTGCCCTCCAGCTTGGGCAACAGAGCAAGACCCTGTTTCTATTTATGAGATAAATATATATAAAATTACTATTACATAACGTTGAGAGCAGGAAAAGAGTTTAAGTAAAACACAAAAGGTTAAACATCCTGTTATTAAAGTTCTATTTATCAGCATTTCTATTTGTTTTTCTTCTAGAGTAACTTAATAATGAGCAGACATTCAAACTATCAATAAAGGCCATACATTGAACATCTAGACAATAACATCTGTTCTTGGCAAGAAGAAACTGGAAAGTTATCCCATTACTGAATCTGTGTAAAACCTTTGCTTGAAAAATTGAAATAAAAATAACACTTTTCTCTCACCCCTCATAAAACAAATGGGTCAGTTTTTTTTCTTTTCCATGTCTTTTTTTTTTTTAACCTTTTCCATTTGAATGAGTACTTTTTCATAAATATATCCATTTTGTTTGCTCACATTAATCTAGTTGTGCTTTCAAAATCTGGCTAAATACATATCCAAATAATTTATATTTATCTAAAAATATTTGTAATTAGAAATATTGCCTGATTAGAAAGGAAAATTATTTGGTTTGACAATACCAAACTTAATAGGTATTGTCAGCCATGCACCGTCTTTCAGTTTTCTAATTCGTAATATGATAAGATGGCACTTTTTGACAGTAACTAATATCTATAGCCATACAGATATAGTCTCTTGGTTATAAGAAAGATTTATGATTCTGGTTATAAAAGATACTTTACTCCTCAGCAACATTATAGGCATGGCTGAAAGTCCAACAAAATCAAAATAAATGTACAGAATGAGCAAGCTTGTCAGGTAATAAAGGAAGTTCTTCAAATCAATGGTAAGGTTACATAAGGAGCTCGGCTTTGATTGTAGATATAATTTTAACACTACTTTATAATTTCATGTCAAATATTTCTAGACCTGTGTCTGCTTATGTTTAGAAAAGTAATTTTCCTTGAAAAAAGTAATTGAAAAGCAAGAAAGATGGATTAAGTGTTTTTAAAAACACTAATCACAAAATCCTGTGTCCTAGCATTTCTTTTCAGGGACACGGTGGCTATATGTAAAGAATGTTTCTAGAAATTTCTTCTATTCAAATTCCTTATTCTGTAAAATAGTCTTTTAAAGCTGAATGTACTGCAGTTGAACATGGAAGTAATGTCACCTTTAGATTCAGGCTTGGAAACTTAAAAACTATTTTTTTTTGTCGATTCATTCATTTCCAGAGAGTAATTAAGAAACTGAAGGTCAGAGTAGTTATTCTGTGGTCATTGTCCAAAAATAAAGGACTCTAATTAAAATGCAATGTGGGCCGGGTGCAGTGGCTCATGTCTATAATCCCAGCACTTCAGGAGGCTGAGGCTGGTGGATCACCTGGGGTTGGGAGTTGGAGACCAGTCTGGCCAACATAGTGAAACCCTATCTCTACTAAAAATACAAAAACCAGCTAGACGTGGTGGCGTGCACCTGTAATCCCAGCTACTTGGGAGGCTGAGGGCTGAGGCAGGAGAATCTCTTGAACTTGGGAGGCGGAGGCTGCAGTGAGCTGAGATCATGCCAGTGCACTCCAGCCTGGGCAACAGAGTGAGACTCTGTTTCAAAAAAAAAAAAAAAAAAAAAAAAGCAATGTGGCAGCTTAAAGGAATATCTGTTCACATGAAATTACCATACCACAAGCAAGTGCAAATTAGGTAATTTCACATTTCTCCTTTTGTAAGTATCACAAAACATTTAGTCAACAGTTGATTTTGTAAATCTTAATCCCATATTCTAGTAACATCAACTGGGGATAACTTACCTCCAATCTGAATTCTGGCATCCCTAATGTGGTTTCATGTTCCAACATAATGCAGATCAATTTGATCTCATAATTACTTTTTAGCCAATTTTATTCAAATTTGCTAAATCTTTTTTTTAATGAAAAAGAATTAGAAAAGCACAAACAACACTTTAATATAGCAGTATAAAGACCAAATCTCCATGGTGGTAAAACTTAACATTTGCCATATTTGAAAAATATATAAGCTTTAAACATTTTTATTGAGCAACCCATAGGCCTTAAAATGAAAGTATTATACAGTTCATTATTATTTCAAATGTTACCAGTGAAATAACAATTTTATAGATATTGATTCTACTGGAAGAAATCTGTTTTTCCTTTATAATCACAATCTCCCAATCTTGATGTTTTTTCTCAGTGCACTAAAGCTAGTGATAAAGGGGGAGGAAAAGAACCCAAGTTTATAGAAAACTGCTACGCAGCAGGCCATTTTAGGCAGTTTGTTTGAGATAACAGTTCAGATGGGATTTGGTGTGGTGCATATTATTATATTCTATTATATAGTTTGGCATACTCTTTTAAAAGTAAACCTCGTCAAAGCAGGATTCTGTAAAGGAATTGCTTCCCCTGTTTTATTTACTCTGGGGACCTGAATTCAGATACTGATGGGATACCAGGTGTTCTTAAATCTGGAGGGAATCATAGACTTTTTCAAGAAATAGATCAAAGCTTTAGAACCTCTCCCCAGAAAAATGTTTAGCCATCCATCTGTACAGAATTTGGTACTCACCCATGGCTACCAAAGCAGGATCTGTAGACTAGACTTCACGTTAATATCCTTGGTGTATTAGATAACTTATAGTGGTTCCTTATTTTAGGATTTTAAATAACATAATAAAAAGATCTCATTGAGAATAAATTTATGAAATAAAATAATATAAAGTTAACTCACAATAATTAGTTACAATAAATAAAAATATTACATAGTGAGGCTGACATTAATTTCTCATTGAGGCTGACATTAATTTCTCATTATTTACTGGTCTGGTCTAGGGTGCCATTTTGTTGTAGCAGTTTTTCTGGCAATAGTTAAGTCTGCCTCTACAACTGTGATTATTTATAGTTCACCCTAAATACAGAATTGAGTTCCATTGATTTTGCCATAATTTTGCCTTAGTATGCCAATCAATTATGAGATAAAAACAGGTTGGATACAAATTTGGATAAAAATATAAAAATATAACTCTATGTTATTTTAAAAAGACTTAAATATAAGGAAACAGAACACTTTTACTTTCTATATGGAAATGAAATTAATGCCATGCAAACACTAAGCAAAAGAAAGCTGGGCTACTCGACAATACTGTTAAACAATATAGTCTTTAAAGCAAAAAGTCTTAGTAGAGATAAAGAGGAGTATTTTATACCATTAAAAGAACTATTCTTTGGACTATAGAACAATTAAATCTAATAACATACACTTAAAATATATATAGCAAAAAATCAGAACTAAAAGGAGAAAGGCATTTTTATAAGCGTAGTGTGATATCTTAATAACTTCATTCAGTAAATAATAGAATAAACAGTCAAAAAATTTAATACAAAGGATTTGAAAAGCATAACTAATAATATTATTCATTTAATAATGTTAAAAAGAAGGCTAACAAGTCAATGATCTAAGTACATTTCAGCAGGTTGGGAATACAAACTTAGTAAATGAAGCCTCCCACACACATATAAAAAGAAAGATAATTAAGATAATTAATTTTCTTAAGATATCTTAAGATAATTAATTTTCTTAAGATATCTTAAGATAAGAGAAAAACAGAAATTAATGGAACAGAAAACAAATATACAGTGGAGAGAATAAACAAAGAGATGGTTTATTGAAAATACAAATAAAATTGATAAACATGTATTCTACTTCTATCACCAGGTAAGCTCCTACCAGACATGACTCTTCCCCAGATAATAAGTATAAACTTTGGACAAAATACAAAAGCAACAACCTGAAGTTGGAGAGTGAACAAAAACAAGCAGATTCTGGAAGGAAGTGACATCAGGAAAAGGAATGATGCAGTGTGAGTTGCCTGGTTTTATGGCTTTTAACCTGAGAATAGGCCAAATCAGGACTCCATGGTTGTATTAGTCTTCTCAGGCTGCCATAACAAAATACCATAGATTGGGTGGCTTATACAACAGAAATTAATTTTCTCACAGTTCTGGAGACTGGAAGTCCAGTGTCAAAGTGTAAGAAGGGTTGGCATCTGGTGAAACTTTCTCCTTAAATTGGAGATGACTGTTATCTCACTGTGTGCTCCTATGACCTCTTCTTTGTGCGTGTGTGAGGGAAGAGCAAGTTCTGTGGTATTTCTTCTTAAAAGGACACTAATCCTATCAGAAAGGGCCTCACCCTTATGAACTCATTTAACCTTAATTACTTCCTTAGAGGTCCCATCTCCAATTAAAGCCACACGAGGAGGTTAGGTCTTCAGCATATAAATTTTGTGGGGGGACACAAACATTTAGACCATAACAATGGGGTAGCTATAATTCTAATAGAAAACTCACAGCCCTTTGCCTGAAGAATCAGAGAACGGAGTTAAGGACAACCAGAGTTACTAGAAATTAAATGGGAAATCCCAGAAAGGAGAATGCCTGAATGGGGAAGTCTCAAATTCTATGTATAATCTTGGTCCAAATTTCTAGCTGACTACTGGGTCATGCATTGCATGAGTCAGACTACAGCTAATGATAAAAGAATTAAACTAAGCTTTGATCTGCCACTCAAGAGATAGAGTTTGCAATTTCAGTTCAACTAAGCTAAAGGTCTGCTAAAACAAAAACATTAATATTCTTCTGAGGAGCATAGCAGATTCCAGGGTCTTACAGCATAACAATCACAATGTCCAGGATATAACTCAAATTTCTTCAGTATATGAAGAGACAGGAGAATACGATCCATTTTCAACAGAAAAGAAAATCAATGGTGACTAAACCTGAGATAACTCAGATGTCGAAATTAGCAGCATCTAATTTCAAAGCAGCCATGATATCTATGTTCAAAGATGAAAAGGAAACATATTCATAATGACTAAAGAGATAAGAAATTTTAGTAGAGAAATAGAAACTAAATAATTTAATGGACTTCCAGAACTAAAAAAAATTTTAATTTAAAAACTAGATATATTTAGTAGAAGGGAAATGACAGGTGAAAGCGTAAGTAAACTTAAGAGAGAGCAATAGAAATAATCCAATAGAAAGAACTAGAAAAAAATTAAATATAAACAGAGCTTCAGAGATCTGTGAGACAGTATCAAAAGGTTAAGATATATATCATTGGAGTTCTAAAAGAAGATAGAGATTGAGGTAAAGAAAAAAATGATTTTTGGTAGGGGAGAATGAGAGAGAGAGCCGATATGACCAAGAAAGTAGTTTATTAATATAGATTCTGTAGCTCTTAGAAAAAGAATGAGCTGATGTTATAAGACACTCATAACAATAATTTTGAAAAAAGGCAAATTCCTAAAAATAACTTACCAAAACTAACTCAAGAAGAAATAACAAATGTATATAATACTACATAAAATTCTAACTACTATAGAAATTAAATGCATAAATAAATATGTAAATAAAAATCTTTAGAAAACTTCAGGCTAAAATGGCTTCTCTAACATTCTCACAAACATTCAAGATAGTTGTAATACTAACACCTTACAAGAATATTACAACAAAAAAATGTAATTTCTGGCCAAACTTACTCATAAACATAAATCTAAAAATCCCAAACAAAATATTAGAAAATTACAGAGTGATTTATAAAAGGGATAATGATATAAAATAGCAAAGATAAATTTATTTAAGAAATACAAGATTGGTTCAACATTAAAAAATGGATGTAATTCCTCACTTTAATAGAATACTACAGAAAATCATATGATTATTTTAATAGATAAATGAGAAGCATTTGTTAAATTCTACATCTGTATAGCCAAGACAATCCTAAGCAAAAAGAACAAAGCTGGAGGCATCATGCTACCTGACTTCAAACTATACTACAAGAGTACAGTAACCAAAACAGCATAGTACTTGTACCAAAACAGATATATAGACCAGTGGAACAGAACTGAGGCCTCAGAAATAACACCACACATCTACAACCATCTGATCTTCGACAAACCTTCCCCAGCAATGGGGAAAGGATTCCCTACTTAATAAATGGTGCTGGGAAAACTGGCTAGCCATATGCAGAAAACTGAAACTGGACCCCTTCCTTACACCATATACAAAAATTAACTCAAAATGGCTTAAAGACTTAAATGTAAAACCTAAAACTATAAAAACCCTAGAAGAAAACCTATGCAATACCATTCAGGACATAGGCATGGGCAAAGGCTTCATAACTAAAACACCAAAAGCAAGTACAACAAAAGCCAAAATAGACAAATGGGATCTAATTAAACTAAAGAGCTTCTGCACAGCAAAAGAAACTATCATCAGAGTGAACAGAAAACCTACAGAATGGGAGAAAATTTTTGCAATCTCTCTATCTGACAAAGTTCTAATATTCAGAGTCTACAAGGAACTTAAATTTACAAGAAGAAAACAGCCCCATCAACAAGTGGGCAACAAAGGATATGAACAGACACTTTGCAAAAGAAGGCATTAATGCGGTCAACAAACATATGAAAAAAAGCTCATCACTGGTCATTAGAGAAATGCAAATCAAAACCACAATGAGATACCATCTCATGCCAGTTAGAACGGCAACCATTCAAAAGTCAGGAAACAACAGATGCTGGTGAGGATGTGGAGAAATAGGAGTGCTTTTACACTTTTGGTGGGAATGTAAATTAGTTGAGCCATTGTGGAAGACAGTGTGGTGATTCCTCAAGGATCTAGAATCAGCAATACCATTTGACCCAGCAATCCCATTACTGGGTATATACCCAAAGGATTATAAATTGTTTTACTATAAAGACACATGCACATGTATGTTTATTGCAGCACTGTTTACAATAGCAAAGACTTGGAACCAACCCAAATATCCATCAATGATAGACTGGATAAAGAAAATGTGGCACATATATACCATGGAATACTATGCAGCCAAAAAAAGAATGAGTTCATGTCGTTTGAAGGAACATGGATGAAGCTGGAAACCATCACTCTCAGCAAATTAACACAGGAACAGAAAACTAAACACCACATGTTCTCACTCATAAGTGGAAGTTGAACAATGAGAACACGTGGACACAGGGAGGGGAACATCACACACCAGGGCCTGTCAGCAGGTAGGTGGGGAGAGGAAGGATAGCTTTAGGACAAATAACCTAATGCATGCAGGGCTTAAAACCTAGATGATGGGTTGAGAGGTGCAGCAAACCACCATGGCACATGTATGCCTGTGCCATACACCTGCATGTTCTGTACATGTATCCTTGAACTTAAAAAAAACTTAGCAAACTAGGAATAAAAGGTATTTTCTTAGCCTAATAAAAGTTATCTATAAAAATGTACAGAAAATACTACAGTTAATGCTAAAATATTATGTCTGTTCTCTTTTAACTACTCCTTTCCCCCAGAAATTGGATTAAGAAAATTATGCCTACCATTGCCACTCGATTCAATATTTTGCTGGAGGTAGAATGAGACAATAAAAATAAAACAAGGTTTGGCAAGGAAGAAATAAAACTATGATTATTCACAGATAATATGGTTGTATAAGAAGAAAATACAAATAACTGATTAACCATTAGAATTAAAAAGTGATTTTATCAAGGTTACCATGTAAACAAACATATATGCAATGAACACAAGATAAAACAAGTAAACAAAAATATCTTTCACAATAGCATACAAACAATAAATACCTATAAATACATCTTATAAAATATGTAACACCTCTACACAAAAAAATTCAAAATATTTTTGAAAAAATGTTTAAAAGACTTGAAGTGGAGGAACATGCTCAGTCCCCAGACTGGAAATTTTAATATTGTCAAGATATTAACTGTTTTTAAACTGATGTATAGACTTGTGTCAGTTCTCTAGAGGGACAGAACAAATGGAAGTGCAGAACCAACAGAGGGACAGGACTAATATATGTATTATACATATGTGTGTGTGTATATATACATATATATATAATATATAATATATTGTACAAAAGATGTACAATTTTATTATATAATACTATATATTATATACATATATATCTTGTATATATGTATATTGTATATATTGTATATATATTGTGTATATGTATATACACACACACACACACAGACATATATATATATGAAGGGGAGTTTATTAAGCATTAACTCACATGGTCACAAGGCCCTACAGTAGGCCATCTGCAAACTAAGGAGCAAAGAGAGCCAGTCCAGGTTCCAAAACTGAAGAACATGGAGTCTGATGTTTGAGGGCAGGAAGCATCCAGCACTAGAGAAAGATGTAGGCTGGGAGGCTAGGCCAGTCTCTTTTTTCACATTTTTCTGCCTGCTTATATTCTAGCCTCTATGGCAGCTGATTAGATTGTGCCCACTCAAATTAAAGTTGGGTCGGCCTTTCCCAGCCCACTGACTCAAATGTTAATCTCCTCTGGCAACACCCTCACAGACACACCAATGATCAATACTTTGTATCCTTCAATCTAATCAAGTTGACACTCAGTATTAACCATCACAAGACTTAGAGCAATTCTGATAACCCAACAGATCTACACATGTTTGGACATTTATGACAGAGGAGGCATTGCCTGGCACTATGTAAAACAATCTCTTCATGGTGTTGGGTCAACTATATATCCATATTCAATTGGGAAACATGGCTCTTGATCATCTACAAATATCACCTACAAATACCAATTTCAGGTGGATTACTTGTTTAAATGTGAAAGTGAAATGTTAAAGCTTCTAGAATGTAACATAGAACATTTTTATGATCTTGAAGTAGGCAAAGATTTCTTAAAAAGGAAACAAAAGATACCATATATGAAAAGATAGAAGCATTGACTACATTAAAAGTTTTAAAATTTCTCTTCATTAAAGACACATTTAACAAGTGAAAAGGCAATCTACATTATGGGAGAAGGTATCTGCAATACATATAGCTAACAAAGGGCACATATACAGAATATATAATGAATTCCTACATATCAATAAGAAAAAGAAAATGCAATTAAGAAATATTGGCAAGGAATTTAACCAGGGACTACATAAAAGAGAATATTCAAATTTTAAGAAAACATGAAACGATGCTTAACTTCATCAGTCTTCAGGGAAAATAAATGGATGAGATATTATTACAGACCTACCAGAATGGTCAAACTTAAACAACCTGATTGTACAATGATATTAAGCAACAGGAATTCATATGCTGATAGTATGCTGATAGAACTGTGAGTTGGTACAACTCATGTTGGAAAACTGGCTTTATCTACTAAAGCTGAACATATGCATACCCTACCACTCAGCAGTTCCACTTCTCCACTCCTAGGTATATGTCCAATATGTGTAAGAATGCTCTTGAAGCATTGTTCATGATACCCTAACACTGGTAACATACATAAATTGTAGAATACTCATTCAATGAAATTTAACATAAAAATTTTAAAAAGATTACATGGAGTAATCTCATTAATGTGGACTAAAATAGTTCATATATATATACACATACACACGTATTTTATATATATGTATGTATATATAATGCATGATGGTACGTATATAAAACTCAAAAACAAAACTAATCTATTGTGATAGAAGTCAGGCTAGTGTTTACCTTTGTGGATGAAGGTGAGGATAATGACTGGGAAGTGACCTGGTAGAGCTTCTTAAATACCAGTAGGGTTCTATTTCTAGATCTAATTGGTGGTTGCATGGTTGTGTTCATTTTATCCATCAAGCTATTTGCTTGTGATTTATGAGTTTGTGTATGATTTGTTTTAAAAGTGCCGTTCTATGGCAATCATTAAAAAGTCAGGAAACAACAGGTGCTGGAGAGGATGTGGAGAAATAGGAACACTTTTACACTGTTGGTGGGACTGTAAACTAGTTCAACCATTGTGGAAGTCAGTGTGGCGATTCATCAGGGATCTAGAACTAGAAATACCATTTGACCTAGCCATCCCATTACTGGGTGTATACCCAAAGGATTATAAATCATGCTGCTATAAAGACACATGCACACGTATGTTTATTGCGGCACTATTCACAATAGCGAAGACTTGGAACCAACCCAAATGTCCAACAATGATAGACTGGATTAAGAAAATGTGGCACATATACACCATGGAATACTATGCAGCCATAAAAAAGGATGAGTTCATGTCCTTTGTAGGGACATGGATGAAATTGGAAATCATAATTCTCAGTAAACTATCGTAAGGACAAAAAACCAAACACCGCTTGTTCTCACTCATAGGTGGGAATTGAACAATGAGAACACATGGACACAGGAAGGGGGACATCACACTCTGGGGTGATGTTGTGGGGTGGGGGGAGGGGGGAGGGGGGAGGGATAGCATTAGGAGATATACCTAATGCTAAATGACGAGTTAATGGGTGCAGCACACCAGCATGGCACATGTATACATATGTAACTAACTTGCACATTGTGCACATGTACCCTAAAACTTAAAGTATAATAATAATAAAATAAAAAAACAAAACAAAACAAAAAATAAAAGTGCCATTCTATTCAATGACATTAAATAGAATGACTTTTATATCTATATATATATATATATATACACACATGTATATATGTCTGTATTTATACACAAACATGTGTATATATATGTGTGTGTACATATGCATGTGTGTATATATATATACACATACACACTTAATGTCATTTTTTAAGTATCCTAGTTCCTGGCGCTTGGAATAGTAATCCTTTAAGTACATTCAAACCAAAAGAATTTGGAAAAGATCCCCAGACACCTGGGTCCATTGCTTTTATTAATTTTGATGCAGAAACAACTAATTTGCAATGTGCACTATTTATGTTAATTTCTTTATTTTGGTCTCAGTTCCGAAAGGCCCAACAGATCATTCAGTGGGAGGCATAGCTCCATTCCCTCAATTATAGGAATCATAACTCAATGGCATGCTCTCAAATGGCAGGTTCAGAAATTCCTTTGTGAGAGGATATAACTTATTAAGCATCCCATCATGCCTCATGCTGAATGGACCTGGAGGTGGCAGGATTCCTGTTATCACCAACTCAGTTCCTAGACTCCTTTCAACAGAGGGCCCAGCATCACCTAGCACTTTGTATATCCATACAATGGAATACCGCTCAGCAATAAAAAGGAATGAATACGGGTATGTGAAACCGCAAGGGTGAATCTCTGAGTGATTATGCTCAGTGAAAGGGCCAGACCCACCAGAGCACATACTGTAGAATCCCACTTATATAAAACTCTATTAATAGAAAATGCAAGTTAATATGTAGTGATGAAACGCATATCAGTCATTACTGGGGATTGGGGGAGATATTCAACAAGCATGTGCAGATTTTTGGTGGCAATGAGAATGTTCATTATCTTGATTGTGATGATGGTTCACACTGTATACATATGTCAAAAGTATCCAATTGTACATCTTATATACATTGTTGTATGTCAATTACACCTCGACAATGCTGTTTAAAAATAACGACACTGTGAAATAAGAAAGGCTATTTAAATGATCTAACAGAGGATTTCTGCATTTCATTGCTGTGTTTGGAGCTTCAATTTACTAATACAATATTAACAAAGCTTTGATACACCGTGTTTTCATTTATAAGAGAAAATACAAAGAAAGTAGAATTAAATAAGATAAACTAAATCCCAAATATCCCATCCCCAAAGGTTCCTGGAAGCCACTTTCATGCTAGAGCATCATAGAGATCTGAACTTCATCCATAAATTGTAGCTGGGCAAAGCTGCAGCCTTGAAAATGTGTGCGACATATTTCAAAGCAATTTTACAGCTCCCTTAAACTTTATTATTTCTGATTTTTTCTCCCTGGGTAAACCTTGAGTTTATCAGTTTAGGTAAAAGAGAACATATTCCCTCATACAAGGCAAACTGCATGGACTATTTTAACATTTGAAAAGGTTTTCATTCTAGTTCTAATACATTTGTGATCCAAAAATCATTAAAATTGCCTACAAAACAGGAATGCAGACTTGTCTCAATTAATTTTGTTCAATTAAGGAACAACAAAAATTTTACATGTACAGTTATTCTCATCCAGTCTCCCTCCTCTTCCTCCCCACTGCCTGCCACTTTTCCATGCTGAGATTTGATATGGAAAGATATCCATAAATCTATCAGCCACAAGGGAAATAGGTCACCTTTTCACAGGATTTGCTACAGTGGATCTATGAAATCTTATTTAAGTAACTGCTCTCTGGGAGGTAAATTAATCAGAAGAAAAAAGGAAGAGCTAGTTATAACTTCCCTACTTTTAATCCTTTCCCAGATCCAACTGCACATCTCCCATAAAAAGCTCCCTTTTTAAAAACCATTTTAGAATGTTTATGCCCCTGTAGCCATCTGCTCTAACTTTCTTTGTATCATTTTAGTTTATGAGCCTCCAAAACACATATTGCCCGTTTTCTGAATGGGCTTGCTGATACTCTTTGCTGTCAATTTCATCTAACTCCCAAGTCCTCTGTATTTGTGATTCACAAGGGCAATCTATGTGCCCATCATTTCCAACTGCATCAGCAGTTCAATCCTTAGGCTTAACCTTCTGTTGAGTGTCTTTATTACTCAGCTCCTCAAGAATATGGCTGAGGAGTGGGTATGCTGGTTCATCCGTAGCCTATTACACTAATGAGTTTCCATGCAGTATTTTATCAAAGCAATGTGTCAGAGTCTTTTTGTTATTGCTCCTTGTTTTGATGGGTTAGTGTTAGTTATTAAAGGAGAACACACATTTTTTTTCTTTCCCTTGACAGGCAAGTTGAGGGCTCTCAGTAATAGGTGCCAGAACAGGAACATCTGGTATACATTTAATGATGCATTGTTGCATTGTTAACTTAAAGCTGTTGCATGCCTTGATAAACACATAATGGGCCTCAAGAAATTAAGAGAAAATTAAAACGTAAATGTTTACCCAAACTATACTTCCCCTTTATTTCCATTCAGTTGTCTACACCTGCACCTTATATATAAATAAAAGGTTAGTGCAAAAATTCTCTTTTAACCCTCTATGGGTCATGTTGCCAGGAACTAAAGGAAAGTTTTATCTCTTCTGCATAGGCGATATAGGTGAGGCCAAAAGGTGCCGTGGTGGTCTTGGTAAGTTACTTGAAGGCTATCTGTGTTTCTGAAAATAAGATAGATAATTTAAAAAGTGCCTTCCCTTGGAGGCAGATTTGCTCCCCTCGGGACAAAGATTCATATGGGGTTAAAAATACTGTAAATATGTTGAAAATATTTTTATCACATCACTAGTTTTCAGCTCCAAATTTTGGTCATGGTTAAATGTTTAAAATGCATTAGCCCTTTTTGGCTACATTGCTGGAGAAGTGCACTAAATAGCCCTTCCTATAGTGAAAATGTACAGATTCAAGGAAAGAAAGTACCTTTCTACACTCTTAGCAGTGACTGAGCCTGTTTGAGATAAATAACTCTTTTTTAAAAAACATCAGGCCTACATATTGTACAAAAGGTGGGCCTCTTTCCCTCTTTGATGAAGGATATGATATAATGCAACGGGATGGTCAAGGAGATATAAAAGGGAAGTGGGGAAGAGGAAGGGAAGGCAGAAGAGACGAAGGGAGAGAAGGAGTAAGGGAGAGGTAATGGGAGAAAAGGAAAAGCAGGGACAAGAAAGATTATACCTGTATCTATAAAAAAATTAGACTTTTGAACTTCAGGGAGGGAGAGCAGAGAACAACATGTCTTTCCTAACTTTAAAGAAATTCTCATGTCTCTAAAATAACATGAAATGACTATATTTCCTAAAGAGGAATCATCTCTTTATTTCTTTAGTGTCCATAGTTCTCAATGTAAGATTTTTAGCCAAAATAGATACATATTTGTTTTCCTATCTGGTGCAGTATAAGTGCTGTAATAGTGTGCATGTTTGTTTTATTAGCTTAAAATGGGGGGAAAGCACTCAGAGGAGAAAATAATGTACAAAGGAGGTAGATACAGTAGATACCGTCAAAATGGAGAGTGACGTCCTATTGTGAGATCATTACTGAGTCATGCTCACGTGGTCCAGGACATAGTATAGATATTCCACAGATACACGAGGACTGTATATCTAGCCTCAAGGATCTGCCATTGTGGTGAAGATTCATGAAGGGGGAAGGGACAGAAATATGTGGGTCAAGCATACCCACAGCATTTTGCACTAACATCCAGCGGTTCCTTGCTCATCCCTTGCCTCACTCCCCACCTATTCCTTAACTCCATCTCAAGTCCATTCGAGGTTATTAAACTTTGATATACTAAATTAATTATGACATACATATTGTTTTCTCTTCTTTTTTCCTTGTTTTTCAGATTTACTTTTGTTCCAATATTTATGCTCTCTTGCATGCATCTTTGTGTGAATCTAAATCCCATTTGAATCAAAGATTGTTATAAATAAAAAATTATAACCCTAAGTTCTTTGAAAATTGATCCATATTATTGACTACCAAAAAGTTACAAAAAAAGATCTCTTTAGAGTGTAGACAGACTCACATAAATTTTAACTTTCAATGGGCACTGCGTTCTCTAATATGCCATCTTTATGGGTTCATATTGCATTATAAGATAAAGATTTTTATCCTAAAGCCTGAACCCAAGGCTATTCTTACTATTAGCCATTTGTAGGGATAGATACTGTTTGGAGGGAGGGTACATCCACTTATATAACCATCCATGGATGAGAGGGGGAAGGCAGGCAGAGGCTCTTATCTGTAAGATTACTTTGTTTGGATATAGCATGTTCTTATAGAGGCATAGATAGCATATATGAAAGGATTATTTTAAAAGAAAGACAAATATAATATGAAGCATCCAATAAGCCATTCCAAGTTAGACAAAGAGAACCCAAGAAAAGCAAACATAATGTTGACTTTTTACTTAATAATCTGGTCAATGAATGAAACTGTGGGCAGTTATATAAAATGTTTGCTTTCAGTGTGATGACCAAACCCAACCTTTAAAGACAGTGGCTTCGCAGGTACAGGCAAACAAAACCAATGCTTCCTAAAACTTAACTACCTCAGGCTACTGTCATGCTCCTTTTATCTTTTTATGGTTGTGCTTTCACTATGTCAAGGTTGAAGCTATGAAATATTTCTGTAGCTTCTTGGCTAATGCAAGGTATTATGCACAGTAAATTATTGCTACTGTCACACAAGAGGAGATGGTAAGTGTTTAGGAAAAGAAAAATCATATCCCTTAAAGTTCCCAAGTCCCAGTTCTACACAAAGGATTTGAAAGGGAGCATTAAAATATCTTTTCATTTAGCTAATGAATATTTTTAAAACACTTAATAAGTAAGGAAAATAACAAGGGGAATAAAAGTCAATTCCTCAAGTCACAAGTGGACAAAAACCATATAATTTTTAGTCAAATATTGCTTTCTCACCATCAAATTATTATGGCAGTTGTTTTTTTACTACTTGAGTTATTTGTGGCTGTATCCTAAAACTTCTCCCCCACTTTTCTTAGCAATTTTGGTAATGCTTAGATTACTTTCTTTAAAATAGCAACTCCTTGCACTACATGTTTTTTCTTAAGTCCAAGGGCTCCCATTGTAATCATTATAATTACACGTAAGTGATGTGCTCTGCTTTCGTGGTTTCTTTCCTCACTCTGGCAACATGGCTAATCTCCTTTGATCCACCACAGTGTACAGATCAGGCCACAAAAAATGATGATGTTTAACTAATTTGTGTCAAGAGTTAAATGAGTTTGTGCCTATTGGCTTCTGTACTATGTATCATTTTAATTTGATCTTCTGTGACTTGCCTTTAATACACTATGTATATTTTTTTCTACTGTTTATAAGTATATTTAGATTAGGTTGTTTAAAACTTCTAACTGTTAATTTCTTCCAAGCCCCTTGAAAATGCCATTCTATTTTTTATAAAAATACTTTTTAACAAATGTAAATGTAGCCATAAAAGTTAATCTTGTGCTCGCCCTTCCCTTCCATGGAAGCCATGTTTATGGCTCTATGGTTGGGTAGCTGTACTCATGTAGTAGATTAAAAAAGGGCATCAGCAGGGTTATTCAGACCAGAAAGTTTAGGGTCAGAGGACCGATCTCTCAGGCAAGGTGGGGTACAGCATAGCAAGGTGATGATTAGTATAGGAATAGCAAAAATTTATAATAAGAAAGAAACTCTGGAAGGAGATTAATCCAGGAGAGGGAAGACTGGAGGGAGACAAACATTGTTAGCTGTGATTGAAACAGGTTCATCATCCATGATATCAAACCAATGATGGGACAGGAAATCAAGGGAAGTCGAGAGGGCGAGTAATCCTCAGAGGCCCTGAGACAGGTGTTTGGTATTCAAGAAGCCTGGCAACAGGTATCTGGTAGAAAACCCACAGAGCCAGGATGGTTCAAGGTGTTGGGGCAATTCTACTTGGGGTGATGTTCCTTCAGAACTGGGGTGAACTGCAATCAGCACTCAGCTTCAGAAGCAGAGGTCCAGAGTCAGCAGAAATTTCATCCCTCCTTGGTCTGAATTCCTTTCTCTTGCCCTTCTGTGATGAGGGTTTATAGCTGCCTAATATCCTGCATTTCTTTTTTTCTGGCTTGTACAGGAGCAGTGGTATTCTGGTAAATGTTTAACAACTGGCTGTCTGGGTAAAAGCAAAACAAAACAAACCACCATGGCCAGTTTTAAACTACCAACATGACATTATTAAACATGGAGTTGGGAGGAGATGTGTAGCAATAAACCGCAATATAATATTTCTACCACACATGTACCATAGGCATAAATAACCTCAAGAGCTAGATGATAGTAAAATGTAGTGAAATAATTAGGAAGAGATGAGTTTTATGCATTTATCACCTTTGTTTTTGATATAATTTACTTAGCTGTGTATTTATATAATTTAAAGGATTCCTGAAAATGTAACAATTAGTTCTCATGAGCCAGTAGGGGCTGGCACCAGCTCACCCTGAACTGACCTTCCTATTTTGTCTTCTTTCCCTTCTCCCCTTGCTCCTTAGGTGATACCTCTAGAGGGATGGAGTCTTCTCTAACATTCTGCTTTCCCTTCTCCTTAGAACTTTCACAGTCTCTTTTGGGGTTGGGTGGATTAGGATGTTGGTAGATAGTCAGAGCTGGGGTTCCTCACATTCTTCTATTTGCTGTGGGAGACAGAGGGTATCTTGGTTTTTCCCTTACCCATTGATTTAGAAGTTGGTAAGAACATAAATAGGACCAAGAAATGTAAGACTCTGCCCTAGAAGAAGACTTTCAAAAGCTGACTGGCTAATTTCCATTAGGAAACAAATAACTTGGGATGAAAGTCAAGTTTGCAAGCTCACTAATTCATTTCTCTTGATCACAGTCCCCACTACATATAGGGACATGGCATGGATTGTTATAGTGATGGGAGGTGATTTAACTCGGAGGAAAATGGAATAGATATGGGGGAGGGGATTGCAGTGTGAACAGGGAATTAATCTAAAGAAAACTCTGTGAAAAACTTGCTAGTTTGAGCCAGGCTCTAGAACTGTGTTGTATAATTGAATTTTCTGTGATGTTGGAAATGTTCCATGTCTTTGCTGTTCAACATAGTAGCCAATAGCTCCATGTGACTATTGAGCAATTGAAATATGGCTATTGAGCTAGCACAACTGAGGAATCAAATTTTATATAACTTTAAATGATTTAATTTTAAATTTAAATAGTCACATGTGGCTAATAGCTACCATGCTGCATAGCCAGCTCTAGACCGGGAGTCTGCAAAGCATGGCTCACAGGTCACATGCAGCCTGTCATCTGTTTTTCTATAGCCCATGAGCTAAGAATGGATTTTACATTTATAAACAGTTGGAGAATACACACACACAGACACACACACAAATAATATGAGAAAGCAACTGGATGTGACCTGCAAAGCCTAAAATGTTTACTATGTGGCCTTTGGTAGACAATGTTTGCTGACCCTTCTTCTAAACATTGTAATTAACTACTTCTGTAATGACAGTGGTTATGATGAGGTCAATAAATTTTCCTAAGAGTCTACAATCCAACTAGTCTATGTCTTTACTCTATTACCCACAGGTCCCTGAGAAGGCCAAAGCTAACTTAGAGGAGTCCTGGTGTTGGTAATACAAGGCAGGAACTAAGCAGGGAGAAGCAAGGTACAAGACAGAAGGTAAATGGCTGGGGACCAGAGAGGCACATTTGAGCAGAACCAGGAGGAAGCAGGACCTGAGGACCAGCCCTCAAGGCTGATGCTCAGGGTCACTTTGGGCCAGAATTGCTGCTAGGCTGAGTTCACAGGCAGGAGTCAAGCTGACCCAGTTTCCAGGATTAGGATAGTGACCTGAGAGATCTTTTGAATAGTAACAAAACCCTCCATATACCTGTAGAAGAATGATGGGCTGGTGAATGAGTGGAGAAAATGAGAGATGAAAGAGGAGAAATCACCAAGAGTCATTGGATATCATAATGTATGCTAAACACTGTCATGGGTGTTTGCAAAAATATTATGCAATTTTGTTTACCTCAGTCATAATACTATGCTGTCATTATCTGACTCTCAATAGGGTGCCTGTTTCAGCTATGAATCCTGGTACATCAAGGGTGCTCAACGTGTTAAATTAAATATTGTACTCATTTCACAGTTGAGGGAACAGGGACTCAGAACAGCAGACAGAAATTGCCTTTTCTTCTGCTTGTATCTGAAAGGATGTGTTGTTACTAAACTTCTTACGAAAGGGAGAATTGGGAGAACTGCGAAATGTTTGTCAGATTTTGGGTTGGGGAGTGGATAAATAGAGAAGCCTTCATAGATACATAAACTTGGATGTAATGTCAAACTGTGGATTACATTTTCTTCATATCCCAAATTATCCACTGAATACAAGGTTTAGAAAAGAAAGCAGAATTCTCCTAAATCCGTCTTATACAGAAACTGACTACTTCATTCCCAATCTGTTTCCCTCTCCTTTGTGGCTTACAGTGAAACCACGTGACCACAGTTAGGTGTGACTGTTTCTGAATTCTGGTCAGTGGAACGTGTCAGGAAGTCATATACACCACTCTGGGGCCTGGCCACAGGACCCACACATCCTTCTGTTTTCTCTCTTTCCCCACCTGCTTGTTGGATGTTAACACCCAAGGCAACTTGAGAAGCACATACTGAAGATGGCAGAGGCTCCATCATCCTGGGTCTCTGAATGATGCATGGAATCATCAGCTCCACCTCCTGCCACTACCAGGATTTTGAGAGCAAGAAGTTAACTTCTATTGAGTCAAAACTCTATTTTATTGAGATTTCAGGTTTTATCTGCGATAGCAATCAATATTGTCTTACGAAAGCCACTCATCCACCCCAGCCTTCACCCAGTCTACTTCAATATCAACACCATAAACATTTGCCTAGTTCATCTATTGGTATGAATAAATATAGCTCTTTCATTTGGAAAAGGGTAAAAAGTAGAAGTAGAGAATTTTATCTTGGCAAGAGGCTGACCCTTGCTTGAATTCTACTGTAATCCAGAGATGTCTAGAAAAGGTCAAGTATTAAAAGGATAGAGTAAATGAAATAAACAGAATGTACATTATTAAAAACAATATTTTAGATTGTTGTCCAGTTGTCTTTTACCCCCATGGAACTTGCAATTGACTGTGATCTGCAAAGAATGAAGATGACCAAACCATTTGCAATAACAAGGAGGCAGGGTTAGCTTCTTCACATGAAGCTGTGGTTGGACTTTCCAAGTCCAGGCTTAGCACTATTGCTAATCACAAAGTTTTGTTTAAAAAAGTATTCCAGTGTACCTTCTCTGGCCAATTCTTGACTTAGATCCTAAAAATTAAAAGTTCCCTGCTTTCTTCTCTTTTAGCTATAAAACCCCAGAATTAGGGATACATTTTAATTGGCCTTGACTATGCTTACTGAAAACCACGTGATTAGAACTGCAGGGTTAAGAATCCATTGCTGACCTGAAGGAAGAGTCTTGGATGTTTCCTTGGAACTATGACCAAATCAATCCACTCACTGCCTCTGTATTAAAGAACAGAGAACAGAGATGTGGGGGGGCAGACAGAGCAGTGAGATGGCTTGTGAAGGAGTCAGTCCATCTAAGTTATGAGTTATTTCTCTGCCACATATTAGTTATGAATTTGAAAAGCTTCCCTTAATACCTAGAATGGAAAAAAGCCTCATTGGTTGCTGTGAGAAAAAAACCCAAAATAATGTATTAAAGCACCTTTCCAATTAAAACTCAGAGGCAACACCTTCTAGGAACACTGCCAACCCTGCAGGGTTGGGATGGTGTGCTTTTGCCTACTGCCTTCCTCACTTTGTCCATTGCTCCCCTTCACCTATGTGTTCTGGCTACATCAACCTTCCTTTGCTTCCCTCTGTTTTCTCTCACGGGGAGATTGCACGCCTGCTGTGCCCTGTCCCCTTCCCCAACCCCTTGCCTTGACCCCACCTACTGTCACCCCAAGTCTCAACTCAGACTTCCTCTGACCCACCAGCCTTGGTCAGCTTCCTTTGCCATGTGCTCTTTTTCCTTTACACCACTTCTCTCAGTTTGTAGTTTGCATACTCATCTGTGCCATTATTTGGAAAATGTACATTTTACCCAGTAGACTGTGACTCCATAAGACAGGCATAATCAACTACTAAACTAACTAGTAATGTAGTTAATGTGTGGCTTATTTTTTATATGGTGTAACACTTTGTATTGTCTTTTCAAGTTAATTTTATAACATACTTGTTGGTCATACTCATAAATAATTAAAAGTACCTTTTGTGACTTAGAGTTTGTTTTGGGACTTACAGCTCACTCAATACACAACTCTGCTTCATCTTCACTTGAAGTGTAAGCACATGGCAGCTGCTTAGCAGAGCCCTCCCATCAGTTCTAGTGATGTCATCAACAAAGTCTGGTATCCTGTTCAGACCACAGGGGGCATTTCCTATAGGCAGTGTAGACTGAAGTAAGCACTGTAGCTGGAATTTGGTCATGACATTGGAACAACACACCTCACCCCAAGAAAGCCTAGAGTATTATTTTTCTGGTGTATCTGTTGCTTTGTGTTTTAGACATTTTTTTCCTTTATGAAACTCCATTACATTTACTTTGTTTCTGTATTTTTTCCTGCAATTGAACAAAAAAAATTAAGGATAAAGATAAAAACAAATTTTTGAATACTAAATATGCTTATAGCATAGAAAATCATGACAAAGCTCAGATAATTCACTGTTTTGCATTTGCAGTGCACACATGAGTGAACCAAATGATGTTTAGATTTTTCTTGGTTCTTTCTCGGTAATGGGTCAGATAAATCACCATCTGATTGCCTATTACATTCTTGAGATTGCATTGGGAATGACTGGCAGTAAAAGGCCCCAATTCAGACTCACTTGTATGCAAACAATAAACATTGTTTACCATTTTTATATTTATGTCAATGATTATAAAATACTCAACAGCTAAAAGATACTTAGAAAAAAAGCGGCATCTTGCCTACAGAAAGAAATCTTTGACAAAAAATTTTTCCATTTCCACTTGATTGTTACTCCACAGCAAGACAATCATATGAGATATGCAACAATCCCCAAAGCCATTTATAGCTTTGCTATCAATTATAAAATAATAAGCTAGAGAATATAAACAGGCTGAATATTAAGGAAAAACAATACTTCTGTTTTGTTGACATGTTCTGTTTCTAAGTGCATACTTCAGAATCTCCAGATTGACCCAGTTTACTGCACAAATTTTTCCTGGGCCTGATTTTCCCCCATTTCATTGAAATAATAGTGGTAATTTCTAACATTTACATCATTTATGAGGCTTTTGCTCATTAATTCTCTCTTTGGTTTGGTATTATGCTTAAAAAATGGGGCAAACAATTTCTAAGACCTGTAAAATAACTTATCTAACGTTTGGTTAAATAGCCAAACAGAGCTTGAACTCATATAGCATTACTCCAAATCTGAATCTTTGCTCTTAGGCAAGGATAATACTGTTTGGTAAACTTAAGCTCAGGGCATGACTTTCTGGATCAGGTTTCTAGACTTACATACTTTTGCATTGATTGATTAATTGATAGATTAATTTTCTTGATCATTTAGTCACTGGCCCATCAGTTTTTGTAGGTACGGTATCTTGTATTCTGCAGAGAGTTTGGTCTTTTGTATGTAAGCTATCTTACTAAGTTTCATGAAGAAAACAAAGGAGAAAAGAGATAGCGTTAACTTAAAAAGAAATTAACAGTTACAAAGCAACCTCTGTGCAAGTGTTTGATAGTGGGACTGGAAGGAAAGGATTCCTTGTAAAAGGTGAGACTTGAGTCTTGCAAGGAATGATGGACTTACATTATCAGGGAGAAAGCAGACAGGCATCCCAGGTGTTGGAGAATGCAGGAAACATCTCTAGGAATCATTTGAATGGCTGCAGTGAGTAATTAATATGGTTATCCCCTAGTATGTCTGCACACTGTATTTTAAATGATAATCTGTGATTATAAGTAGTGTCTGATTCTCATGAGTGTCAGTTAAAATTATTCCATAAAGGTTTTATCAATTAAAAAATATCCAACCTCCATTATCATAAAGTTTTGAAATCTTTTAGGGTCTCTTGAGGTGAATGCAAGTGCCATATGTCCACAAACAAACAGATAGGTTCAATTGTGATGAGGCTCTGGATGATGGCAGTGAACTGTCAGAAGAGAGTTTTACTTCTGGGGATTTTTATAGGCAGAAATGTGGCTGATGCTATCACATTAAAAATCATCACTGGGCAACACAGAAGGGTACTCTTGACTCTTTGCATTTGGATTTCAACCTCCTGGTCATGTGTATTTTATAAGCAGAACCTGATAATATTCTGAGCAGGGCAGTGCCTACAGGGGACAGGGACAGAGACAATAAGGCCTCCTTGTCAGGGCATACACATGAAAGGGCAGCAGGAGATTCTGTGCAGGCTGGATGTGTTTGAGAGTGCAGGAAATGGGTTGTCTGTTAACATCTTCTGCCAACTCGTTACTCTTATTTCCGTGGAGCACTCCAAGGACACAGGGTAGAGCGAAGGTCAAAGTGAAATCCAAGAGCAAATCTGCTCAGTACATACCATGGTGAAGAGGGAGCCTGAATGAGCAAAGGAGATGGATATTTCCAGGAATCAGAAGGGCTGCTAGTGGAAGAAATTATAGAAGTAAGGAAAAGGCCAGCCATCTGCTGGAGTATAGGGAAGGGAAAGAGGGGCTGACACTCAACCTTGAATGAGGGTAGGGAGAAGGCTGTTGGTGCCATATGGTGGTCAAGCAAGCAAGAGCTCTTTCAGCAGCTCTTCCTCAGGACTGAACTTGAGGATATTGGTCCAGGTATTGTGAAGAGAGAGCTGGGAAGGGAAGGATCTAAGGATACTGGGTCATCAGATGACTGGGAGCAACTTCCAGACTGGAAGACCAAGAGAGTAGGTGGATGAGTGCTTCCCTGTTGGTGGGAATGTAAACTAGAAGAGCCACTATGGAAAACAGTATGGAGGTTCCTCAAAAAACTGAAAATAGAACTACCATATGATCCAGCAACCCCACTGCTGGGTATTTATTCAAAAGAAAGGAAATCAGTATATTGAAGAAGTATCTGCATTACCATGTTTAATGCAGCACTCTTCACGATAGCCAAGATATGGAATTGACCTAAGTGTCTATCAGTGGATTTTTAAAAACATGGTATATATTCAGAATAGAATACTATTCAGCCTCAAAGAGAATGAAATCTTGTCATTTGCAGCAATATGGATATAACTGGAGGACGTTATGTTAAGTGAAACAAGTCAGGCACAGAAAGACAAATATTTCATGCTCTCACTCATATGTAGGATCTAAAACAGTTGATCTCATGGAAGGAGGGAATAGAATGGTGGTTACCAGAGGCTGGGAAGGTGGGAAGGTGGAGGTGAACAGAGGTTGGCTAATGGGCACAAAAATACAGTCAGAAGGAGTAAATTCTAGTGTTTGATGGCAAAATAGAGTGACTATAGTTAACAATAATTTATTCTATATTTCAAAATAGCTAGAAGAGAAGATGTGGAATGTTCCCAATACAAAGACATAATAAATGTTTGAGCTCCTGGGAATCCCAGTTACCCAGATTTGATTATTACACATTGTATGCTTGCATCAAAGTATCACATGTAAGCCATAAATATGTATGACTATTATGTATCCATAACTTAAAAAATAAAAATAAAAAAAAGGGAACATGTAGGAGCCAGCAAAGGTGAGTAGTTTTTTGAATAGCTCAGATACCACATCCTGACTTGCAACTTGGCTTTTAATTTATGCCTTGGGACTCTCCCCTGGCTAGTAATTTGGTTTTCCTTTGACTTAACATTTTTTCAATATTTGTTCAAAATTTGTTTAGTTAACTAGGCGAAGAAGTTATTTTCTATCAATAGAACTAGCATATATGCAGTGAAGGATTTATTATGTGCCCTGAAGTTACCACTGTTTTTACCCATTTAGATATCCCTTTACTTCTATGGTTTTGCCATCACACATGCCTGAATAGTGTCTGGCATCACACTCTAAAATAACTGCAGAAATGTATATATATATGGTTATTATATACATTATCTATATATATTATCTAAGACTTATTACTGGCAAACAGCAATATTCAGTGTGTGAATTTTAATTGACTTTGATGGATGACATCAGAGGCTGTCAGGTAGCTGGTCTCAAGTTGGTGATCTACCCCAAATGTATACATTGTCATGTGCACATAGAAAAAAATTATTTAACAGAGATTGGAGTGTTCTGGTGAGGATTTTTATTGCAGGTTCTACTTTTCATTTCTTTCTTCTTCTGCCAACCAAATTAGCAGAACCAAATTAGATTTTGCAGATTACAGAGTTGTGTGTGAAAATGTGTCAGATGTTTTTCTGCAGTGATCCATCCTTTTGCCATTATGTTTCGGGGATGCAGGCAGCTGCCCAAACCCTTGTGCTTGACTCAGCTCAGGGTATGGGGCATTCTGAGGCTGATATGGCCCAAAAAACGAACTGTTCTCCAAAACGTGGCGAGGAAACTTTGAGGGGGAGATTTCAAGAGAGAGAGGTCTGGGCTATGTGTGTGGTGGGGAGAAGAAGGTGCAGGAAGCGACACAATTAAGCCAGGAGTGACTACATGAGAGAGGCAGAGAAAGAATGGAGTGCAAGTAGAGTCGCCACTGCCAGCGGGTCTCTCTCCATCACTAGCAGCGAGGCAGCAGCTGGCCCTTTTTCCTTCACGAAGGGAAGGGATCAGGAGTAGCATCTTGATGGTGGTGTCATTCTCCTCTTTTCCCTTCATGGAAGGCTACTGGCTGTTACAGCTTCACTGATCCAGATTTATATATTCTCAGCAAGGCTATTTTACCACTGCTGCTCTGCCTAAGAATGTAAATGAGTACATTTAAATATCCTGTTCTCAACAATTTTATGTTTTGTTCTAAGCTCAAAATAAAGTTACCCAGGTGTTCTTTTATAAATAGGACTGCATGAATTTAAACAAACCTTTGCATTATTCATTGCAACAAAGGAATTGGAGATCCTTCTCTAGCTGTAACTAATTTTAACATTTTTTAAAGTAATAAAAGACTGGAGGTAATTAGCACATCATTAGGCATTTTCTATAATAGACATATAAAATTTGACTTGGAAACCATTTTTTTGGATGAACAATTATTTTGAAATTCACTAAAAGTTATCTGTCATCACTTTTTGGCCACACTAACTTTATATTATAAATTGTTTTTAATTCAAGCCTTTGGCAAACAATTTAAATGAGGATTTGCAACATAACACTGCTAACCTCACGGCTGAAATATTAAGGCTTCATGCATGAAAGATTTATCCTTTTAATAAGATTAATCACATTGGACATCACTTACCCTCCTCAATTAAAACCCACTTAATTTGCAAACAAAAAAACTACTCCAAATGCAAATTAGCATAATAGATTTTCAGATCCATTTAAGATGGGCAACAATTGGCCATATATAAACTCAAGCACTTCTTATTCTATCAAAAATTCTTTATTAATAGATAACACCTTAAGTCAAAAAACAAAGCTTCTAATAGTCTTATAAAATAGGTACACCAAAGAGCATGCAGTAATGAACAATTTAATCCAGTGGGAATTTCCAGTTCTAAATCCATCAATGCTTACAACTAAGAGAGTTTTGTTGTTTAGTCAATTGTTTCTTAGTGTCACCGTGGCGCAGAGATCTTCTCTGCTGAAGGAATCCTTTCAGTGGTCCCTCTTAGCTCTGGATATATAAAGCAAGTGTTGCTTTCTTGGGAAGGGAATAACTACACATTTGTTGTCCTGACAGAGGCCCTGTTTTTCCATTCTCCTTGGTTGTGAAAATAAAACTTTGATGAGAAGAGAACAGGGGATATTTGCATGAGTATAAGGGATCCTTTTGAAGGAGAAGGATTAAGATTTTGATACACTGTTATGAGGTTGATCATTTGTCTTACATGAAGATGGCCCTGACAGAGATCAACTGTCAAGAGAACATCTCAGAAAGTTGTGAAAGGGAATTTTCCCTAAGGATGAGGGCATCTGAACCAAAGGGCTGGTTGTGACCACATTTTCCAGGCAGAACTAGAAACCTAGCACTAGGAAGATATGACTGTGTGTATGTCATAATAGGTGGGACCCAGAAGCATGGTGACATGAGATGATTAAGATAGTTTAAGACTGGAAAAGCGACCTTTTGTTCCCTTTTCTGCCCTGACAAACACTAGGCGGGACAGTATCAGATGGTCCTGGACCACCAGTCTACACTGAGCAGCAGTGCTTGCAGCAGTGTCAGCAGGGAAAGAGACCAGGCTGCAGAATGTCCACTTTTCTCCACAAGGTGATTGACTGTAGTGCCAGCTAATGCAGATTGCCACAAGCTTCACCTTCAGATATGGCAAGATGTTGACTGGTCCAGCATCAGTTGAATAACTCTATTAAAAAACAACAACAAAAACAAACAGGAGCTACTTTCCTTCCGCAGGAACCTATATCTCCTGTGCATGTTAGAGACCTAGGCCTGCATCTCTAATTTTATAACCTATCATTTGATGGGCACAAGTCAGCGTTGGAGTCAGCAGAAGCAGAAACCAAATAAAGACCTAGGAACAAATGATTTATGCTACCCACTCAACTTTAAACCCTTTAATACATAGTTCAATAAGTTATCTCAGGCCAGGTATGGTGGCTCATTCCTGTAATCCCAACACTTTAGGAGGCTGAGGTGGGAGGATCACTTGAGCCCAGAGTTCGAGACCAGCCTGGGCAACATAGACTGAAACCTGTCTCTACAAAAAATAAAAAAATTAGCCGGGCACAGTGGTGCACCCCTATAGTCCCAGCTACTTGTGAGGCTGAGGTGGGATGATCGCTTGAGCCCAGGAGGTCAAGGCTGCAGTGAGCCATCAGGCAATTCAGCCTGGGCAATAAAGCAAAACTCTGTCTCAATAAAATAAAATAAAAGGTTGTGTCATTTGAGGAAAAACATGTAAACATCAAAGAGAGAAAAGTGGGAAGTATTTTGCCAACATGAAGGACAGAAGAAAAGACAAATATATTGAACATACTAATGTAAGTGAAGTTTGTTTTCAGTGAGTTTTATGACTAACTCTAGTTATGAGTGACAGAAAAACTGTGAAGTGAAGGATTCCAAATACATTAAAATATGGTGTTACTACAAGGAATTAAATAAATACCTCACATTGAATTCAAACAAAAAGTTTGCAATTTTATTAATAGAACATTTTTTCCATGTGCTTATTAAATGAATGGTGAATGAATATGTGTAAAATAAGCATTTAAGGAGAGTCAACTCACTAGCCTGTCCAGGCTGTCCAATTGTTCTGCCTCCCCCTCGGCCTGCCCATTAGGAAATCTGGACTGACTTTAATGACTGTTGCTGCCCTGAGGTCCTAGATCTACTTCAGTCCATGAATATTTTAAATCAAAGGAAAATGCAAATGGTATATAATGATGCAGCCTTTCTCTCCAGCATCTTCTCCTCATCACGCTGTGTCTGGGCACCCTTAGCACATTAAGAATTTTAGCTGAATGGTGCTCTCTCAATGCACCAAGAACCTTCCCACACACTAGCATTTCCAATTGAGTTCAATAACTATATTAGATATGTGTTTGCTATGACCATTCAAGTATTGTGTGCTTCAGCACCTCAAGGGTAACAGTTATGTCTAACTTGGTGTCACACAAAGGGCTCCCTAATATTTTGGGAGAATTCACTCATTCATTCATTCATTCAGCAAATATTTATGAAACACATATGTGCTAGGTTCTGTTTTAGGCACTAAAGGTACAGCAGTGAACAAAATCGACAAAATCTTTGTCCTTGTACAACTCACATTCTAGTGAGGGAATGAGAAACAAATGAGAAATATCGTGTATTAGAAATTGGAGAAAAATAAACTAAGGAAATGGCATTGGAACAACTGGTATTACTGTATGCGTGTTATAATTTTAAGTAGGGGGTCAGGGAAAGTTTCACTAATAATGTGACATTTGAACATGCACCTGAAGAAGATGGGGAGTGAACACCGAGGATGCAATTTCCTTGGGAAGTTCCAAGGGGAAGAACTTCCCAGTAGAGAAAAGAAACTGCACATGCAAAGGCCTGGAGGTGGGAAGGTTTCTGGTATGGAAGCAGGGAGACCAGCCAGGAGGCCATGTCACTCATCTACAGGAGATATGATGGTGGCTAGGGGTGGGGTGTACAGTAGGGGTCATGAGGAGTGCTCAGATTCTGGAAATGCTCTGAAGGAGGGGCATGCAGGAGTTGTAATTGATACAGACTGTGAAAGGAGGAATAGCTCTGTGCAGAATGGCTAATGAGCTTACTGAGCTTCCCTGGATTCTGCACGTCTCTTCACTGCTCACATCTGCCCTTTCCTCTTTGGGTCATCTGAGACTTAACAATTTTCTTGGGCACAGTAGTCTCTTATTTACACAATCCCTAACATCACGTGTTTCGGAGGCTTATTCCAGACTCCTACTATCCCTTACAGAAGCCTGGCTTATATGTCTATGGGGTAAAATGCTCAAGGAAGGCAGCAATTTATAGGGCTTCTGGAGGACAATGCTGCAGGTCTTTGGATCTACTGAGATAGGTTTGAATGTTTAAGCAGAGGCTGAAGAAAGAATTTTCACTGACTGCAGATTCCCTTGATTGGAGCAATACAGGAATCTGGGCAAGATGAAGTCTGAGCAAGTTTGAGAGGGGACTTGGCTACAAGGCATTCTTGGCTTGATAAGAATGCATCAAAATTAGGTGTGAGCTGTAGAAAAGGATTACACACAGTTCTAGGATAGACCAAGGGAGAGAGAAGAGACTTTTCATTTTTTAATGAAGAAATAAGCACTCACTGTGAAACCAGTCTTTTGTCCTAAGAGGATGGCAGAATATCTGCCAAGAGCATGGACAAGTACATGCCAACCCATGCCCACCTCATGTGGCAGCTGGACATTTCTACGTGGTGCATAGTGAACCGGATTTCAATGAATCCTTGACGAACATAAGAGTTAATTGATGAGGGTGATCATGTATGCAGGTGCACACTGAGACCAGGATCTGTGCCTTCAGGAATCAAAAGTTTTGTAATAAGAGGATGCTGATATTTCTGCATCAGGAAATGCTGAGTGGGGGCTGGAAATAATCACCAAGGCCTAGAATGCCTGTGTTGACTCAGATTATTGGGGGATTCAGCAATTAAGCTGATTCAGAAATGCAGTTCTGAATTTGAGGAGGCAATTCTTTCTTTCCTGTGTGATTGAGCTGTAGGAATAATTGGAGTGTGTGTTACATTGTGTTTGTTTCTAGATCTGACTCCTAAGTGCGCAAGCAACTAGAGGGCAGAGATCAGTGTCTTATTTTACTTGGTAGGCCCTACTGGTTGGAGGATTACTGGCAAGTAGAGTTCTCAAAGTGTTAGTGAATGGATGGGTGGATGACGGGATGGATAGATGGATGGATGCGTAAATAAATGAATGCATGCATGAACGAGTAATCACACTGTTGCTAAATGTTCCTAAAAGTGATACTATATCACACACACACACGCACACACTTATATACACATTTACAGACATACACTATCAGACATCGATTCCTCTTTCCCTATTTTAATCAGATACTTACTTTTTAAAAGACAAAAACCTACTTTGAACTTTATTTCCAATCGGTTTAAATAATTTAAAACCCAATATTCTTTAAGAAATAAACTTCAAGAAAAAGAAAAGATGATGGAGGAGGAATCTATCCCATTAATGCAACATAAATGAAAAAGTAACAATTATAATGTACCTTATTTGAAACTTGATTTTTAAAAACAAGCTATTAAAACTATAACATTTATAAGACAACTGGAAGTTTGAACACTAACAGGATATCTGAAAATATTGAGAAATTAGTTTTTTCCAGTGTGATAATGGGAGTATGGTTATGTTTAAGAAAAATAGATTTTATTTTATTTTTTAGGGATACATTCTGTAACATGTATGGATGAAATATTATGATATCTGAGATTTGCTTCAAGTTAATACAGAAGGGGTGAAGGTGGTTGAGAGTATGGATATAGGAGTACTGGCCAATATGTGATAGTTGTTGAGGCCAGATAATGGGTATATGGAAGTTCCTTTATTACTCGGCCTATTTTTGCGTATGTTTGAAATTCTCTTTGATAAATAAAAACTAAAGTGGGTATTAAGATATAGAAAACTGATATAGCAGACACAGTGGTTTTTGTTTTGTTTTGTTTTTGTCTTTTGAGACAGAGTCTCGCTCTGTCGCCGGGCTGGAGTGCAGTGGCAGGATCTTGGCTCACTGCAAGCTCCGCCTCCCAGGTTCAAGGGATTCTCCTGCCTCAGCTTCCCGTGCAGCTGGGACTACAGGCTTGCGCCACCACGCCCGGCTAATTTTTGTATTTTTAATAGAGACACAGTTTCACCATGTTGGCCAGGATGGTCTCAATCTCTTGACCATGTGATCTGCCCGCCTCCGCCTCCTAAAGTGCTGGGATTACAGGTGTAAGCCACTGTGCCTGGCCCACAGTGCTGTTTTATGTTAACCACAGTAGACAGGCTTCTAAATTCTTTATTCATCTAATCTATTGCTACTGTACATGCATATTCATAGAGCAATAGATGCCTTGGTGAAGAAAGCATTTATTTTTATCTTGCAAGTCATTTAAATAAAACAAACCTTGGAAACCTTCTCTTTCTTACTTGTCATGTAAATCACTTTATATAGGACATCTTGAGACACACGCCCTATGCTTTACAAGAACTCTATTACTTGCAAACCTTAGCATAAATCCTCTTGATATGTTTAACTAAGATTTACTAAAATACAACCTTAGGCCCATTTCTTCTGACAAAGGTATGTGTTTATACTCTATCATTTGTTCCATTTTCTCCTGAGGGCTTTGCCATCTTTATTCTGCATGACTGTATTTTTGTTGCAATTGAAAAAACTTCATAACACCTATTTCACAGGCTTTAATTTCTATTTGGTCTTGCATAACTAACTGCCTGCAGAATTCTGACACCATGCACAGATATATGTCTAATTACACTTTTGAACTTAATGAAATGAATATATTTTTGTCCTCTGATCACAGGCTAGATATTTAAAATTTTTAATTGGCTATTATTTTTCCAAGTAAGCTTATTGCAGTTTGAGGTTGAATTAAATTGGAAAGTACATGTGAACAAAATCCTTGTATTTTAATATTTGCAATCTATTGTTGCACATATTTCTAATAATAGACTAGCAATTATATTATTTTTGGCTATGCGTATTTCACACATGAATTATGTATAGATATATGTAAACATATTATGGTAAAATATCTTTATAATGTAGAACTGGATATGACTCACCAACTCAGGGGCACAACATACTGTTATATTTCAGAGGTTAAGGTTTGATTTTCACTATATATAAATTTGTGTTACAATTCTGCTCCAGTATAATTTTACTGTTATTCCAGCGAAGAAGCAGTACTTGGAGTATTCAAACTGTCGAACTCAAATGCTGACAATGGCCAGGCAGGTAATACAAATGAGTGAAGGCACCTGGGTGAAACATATGATCACCTGGAGGTAACTCCCTGTCTAAAGGGGCAACCCCTCTCAGCTCCAGTCAGTAGTACCTTTCGTGCATAGTGTTTCCAGATGTTCCAATATTTCTAAAGAAGCCATAAATCCAGATTTTTTCTTCTGATTTTAAAATGTGAGCCAAAGACATTATACCTGTTATTTGCATGGAACAAATAGTAATCCAGGAAAAACAGCAGTAGAAGGATTTTGCCTCTGACTACTTGGCTTGCTACTGTAGAATTTCTACAACTGGCTTACCTGTTCAATACTTGCATTTATTTCTTCTGATCAGGATAAGAGTATTTATCCATTAACCATCTCTGTATGCTGACTATACATGTCCAAGGAAGACATGAGGTCACTTTGTAGATTCAGCTCAGCATTATGGACTGAAAATAACTAAGAAGGTGGGGAAACAGGCACTCTCCTCACAGGATAGTAAATGGGAATAACTTTTACAGAAAGCAAGTTGGCAATATTTTCAAAAGATTTTATTTTAATATGCTCTCTTTGACTTGACATTTACACTTCTATAAATTTATTCTTAGAAAATTACAGACGTTACATCACATGGGTTTAAAATCACAGTTCATATAAGGTTTGTCATCTCAGTATTACCCATGGTAGTAAATATTGAAATAACCAAAATGTCTAATGACAGCAAATTGGTAAACCAAATTATGATGAAATCACTTCTGTATGATGTAATAATTTCTGTAATTACGTAAACACAAATATTATTTTAGATGAAAAAAATAAGTTGTAGATTGATGGCATGTTTTAAAACATAAGGAGGCCCTAGTTCTAATTCATTAGGATGGAGAATTAGTTGAAAGTTGTCAGTGGCACTTGATGCGGGGAAATACAGGTAAACAGAGACAAAGAAAGCAATCAGTAGAACAAATGTGTCTAATGGAATGCACACTAGAAGACAAAAATGATTGTATGCAGGTCATCAGGCTGTAGTTTAATCTTGTAGGGTACATATGGAAGGCAGAACTTTATAGATTTGGGCTCTTCCAAAGCAGATGGTCATATCTGCGCGTGTAATGCTAGACTTCACACAAGTCAGATCTGGCTTTTTGAGCAGTCACATATTTGTTCCCCAATACCTTGCTTTGTAGGGTCCTGTACCCCCAAGACTGCTCACAGCTTTATGGATACGCTAGGCCGTTTCTTGTCAGTACCTTAGTCATTGCTGCTCATCTGCCCGGGAAGCTCCGGTCCTGCCTTTTCTCCATTAGCTGCTACTCACACTTTTGGGTCCAACTCAGGCTTCACCTCCTCATAAATCCTTAGCTGAGTCTCTTTCTCCATGCAGTGTCAGGTTCTATCTTCTGTGCCTACCTCCGTCTTTGCATTCTCACCTTGTTATAATTTTACCTGTTTATGTTTCTGCCTTCTCCACTGAGCTGGGAGTTTTTTTTTTTTTTTTTTTATTTGATGAGGGAGATTGTGTCTTCCTGGTATTTATATGCTGGCAATAGCATAGTGTCTGGAACCCAATACAAGTGAATAACTCTGTACTCACCCTGTCATGGTCTCTGTGAACTTTGCCATGGAGGGTTGTGCTGTGCCCCAGTTGTACGACTATACGTGGTGGCCCTGGATCCCAAGGGCTTTCAGTTCCACGTACATGCATACATACATATATATATATATATTTTTTTTTTCTTCATGACTGATAATGCCTTGAGGGCCTGCTGTCTGTCTTTACAGAGAGTAAATATCCACTACCCTCCTCCTAACCCCCAACAGCTAGTGCTCAAGATATTGTTTTGTACAATCTTAAGACTCATATTATTAACACATTTTTATAATTTCCTTAAACCTGAAACATTCAATGCTTTCATAATTTTACTTTAAAAAAAGAAAAGGGGAGCCATTAATGGAAATGCACTGTTGTTTACCACAAAAATAATTTTTTTTAAAAGTTTTTATGTATTGAAAGTGAATCTTCTGCAATCTTTATCCTAAATAATTTGGAAATGAGTGCAGCAGTTTGTAAAATTACAATGAGTTCTTGTTGGGATCTTGTGAAATTCTTACATTGGAATCTTTTAGACATTTAGAGTAAGCTGGCTTTTTTAAAAAATCAAGTACTAGTATATAATAATGAAGTCACATATTTTCTTCTTTCACTAGATCCTCGAAGTAATCTTATTTTCATTTCACAAATGAGTAAAGTAAAGCTATAAAAAGTTATAATGACTTGGCCAAATCAAGCCTGTAGTTGGATTCTTCTGACCACAAATCTTCTCCTTAACAACATATCCTAAAGCTTTCTTTAATTGCTTCTTCTCTTTTATTTAAAAGGGACTAACTTGGCTACTTCAATATACTTTAAATCTATGTTAAAATTTTTTTTTAACCTGATCATTTGGTTGGAGATTCAGTTATAAGCCTTTAAACTTGGACCACCTCTGGTAAGTTGGTAATGCTTTGTTTTATTAACTATTGCTTTGTTTGAGTTCTAAGACATACATTATTAGTATTATAGAGCTTGGTTTCTTAAATGGAAGTCATCTATTAAATAAATTAAGAAATATTTCCTCAAGTTAAATACATGTAAATATTATTTTGGCTTTGACGTGTAAATTTTCTACCTAATTTTTATTTGGGTCTCTAGGAAAAATCTAATTTGAAATCATCCTTGACACAATTTAATGAGAATAAATTATTTTATCTTTCTTAATGCATTTTTGTTTGATTTTCTTATGCATAGAAAGATATTTTCATACTAGAAATTGTTGGAGGAATATGGAAAGATGCCTAAAGTCTAAAGATGAGAATACAGTACTGACCTGCTTCCACCTCTGACCCCTACATTTCTATCTGCTTTTAGATTCTAGAGATTATATCTCTCTAGGTTGTTCAGCCATTCAGTATTTTATGTTTAACACTCTGAGAAAGTGTCCTTAATGAGTAGAAAAACACAGCACACACTTTCAGAAATCCACAGTCACTCCATGCCAGCTTTCTAAAATTAATAGAGCATCTCAGAATGTTTTTGCCATGGACATAAGTCTACGAGTTTTCCATTGTTGTAATTTCTTCAAAGGGATTTAAAAAAACATATTCAATAGTGAAAAATATATTTTATTATGAAATAATTCAGGTGCACAAGAAGATAATAAAATAAAAACCTATGTAGCCACCATCCAGTGTAAGTAATCAAACATAAAAATAACCATTAAAATCCTTTCAATGGCCTCCCCAAACCCCATTCTTCCTCCTCTCTTCCAAATGCAATCATTTTCTAAATTCACTGTGTCTCACTTTCATAGGTGTGTTTTTATTTTTATTACATATGGATGTATTTAAAACAATAAACTCAAGATTTGATATTGTTTCATATGTTCCAAAATGACAAATAGTCTCAACCTTTATATATCCGTCTGCAACTTATTTCTTCTTTTTTTGCCCAAAAATGTTTTTGAAAATTATATTATTGCATGTAGCTCTGGTTTCTCATTTTTGCAGTTGTATACAATTACATTATATGAATAGACCATATTTTTTGCCATTTCCATAGTGATGGATATTTAGGTTAATTCTCCTTTTGTGTTATTATCAATAATACCCCATTGAATATTTGCTTAAATCTGCATAGTTCCAAATGGAAAAAGTGCATTGATAGCTACACTTACTAAGTCTTTTTAAAATCTCTTCCACTAGTTATGCTAAAGCTGTTTTTTCTGTCTTTTAAAAATATTAGTTTCCTTTCCCTGAATATGTAGCTTCACTGAATGTTAATCAGTTGGTTTTGGAAACCATTAAGAAGGTTTTAGGGTGTACTGTCAATATAAATACATAAAGAAATAGGTAGATATATACTATATATATATATTATGTACACACATACACACAGATTTTAAAAACAATGAAAAATAGTTTTTAAGAAAATTTTTAAGCAGATTAGAAAATTTAATTCCAAGTTATTTAAGCATATAGCTTGGGCATTTTAATAGGTGACACACATCATATCAGTAATAACACCTTAACAATGAAAGCATTTCTACACTTACTTTCTTAAAATGCTTTATCACAAAATTTTTTTGAAAAAACAGTTAATTTTTCATCCATGATCCAAATATCACCTTATTTTGAAGGCATGTATTTATATCTTAAAATATGTACTGGGTAGCAGGGTCCCAGTAGTCATTTTTCCTCACAGAAAAGGCCAGAGATTTGGAAACACTTATCTTTCTTGAAAGAAAAAACTGCCAACTCAGCTTTAAGTTTGCCAACTCTTTTTACCAAACTTTTGTCTGACAAAAAGAGTTTGTGATTATTGCTCGTCTCAGTATAATAATATTTTTTCTGATAATATAATCCATAAAACACTTAACCAGCACTTTAGAGTAAAATTTGCCACAGTGTGCTGGAACCATGAAGGGGTGAGAGTAGCCCAATACTCATTGTTCTGGGGAACGTCTTCTCACCTTCAGAATACCTGCTGGCTGATACGCCACCTGAGAAAGGCATTTCACACACTGGTATTCATGTCAGCATCAGTTTGCATATTACATATTCGTAAAGCTCAGTAAAAAAAATAAACAAAAATAGAATTTTCTAATCTACTTCTGCCCCTAAATGGATTATCTCGTGCAGTTCCTGTAGTGCATACACCTTACCTTGAGGATCAGTGGCTAAAATGATGAGTGGATTTTGGATAGACTAAAGGCAGGGGTGAGGGCTTTTCTAGTGGGAGCAATTGTGAGCAGAAGCTCAGGCTGGAATGAATGATACATGCAGCAGGGACGACAACAGGAGGAGTCTAAGCAGTGGGTAGGAGTGTGCACTGGTGAGATCAAGATGGAAAAAAAGATTCGTGTCAGACTGTAGAGGGTGTTTATTGCCAGGATTAGGAATTATGTTAAGGGCCAAAGGAGGAGATCTTGGGATAGATGAGAGATATCATCAAAGCTCCACTTTTAAGAAATCCATCTAGCTGCAGAATGGAAGGAGGGGTTGGAGAGGGGAGAAGAGAGAAAAATGTTTTTAGAGGGCAGTTTCATATTGAGTTAGTGGACATGAGAAATGATGAAAGGAGGAGAAGGATTTGAGGAATTTTTATGAACACGAGTCTGACAGGCTGTATGTCTGATTCTCCAAGGCTGGAGAGGCAGAGCGAGGAGTCAAAGTACACTGAGGTATCAATCTTCAGAGGCCTTGTGGATGACGGTGTCCCACTAATGGGGCAGAGTCAGGAAGAGACTTGGCCAAAGGGAGTGGAGGAAGGAGTTCATTCCAGACACATGGACTTTTGATGTCCATATAGACAGATTCAGGAGCAAAGGGAGTGGGAGTCTGCCCTGGTCAGGTGAAGATTTGGGAGCTTATCACTTATAAGAAATAAATGAAGCCATCAAAGTATAGCCTGAAATCACCCACTGAGAGTTCAGGGAACAGGAGAAGAGGGCTGCTGATGTTTAAGATCCAGGAAGAAGGAGAAGAGGAGTCACCAAAGGGACCCAGAAATGATCTGAGAGGTAGAAGATGTGGTCATTCCTCACTCCCCTATCCAAAAATTCCCCCCCAATTCTTTATCTCCCCCTTGCTTGCTATGTATTTTTCACTTGGCACTTATCTACAAATACTATGTATTTTTCTCATTTATCTTATTTATTTTCTGTTGCTTTGCACTAACATTCAAGCTTTGTGAGACCAGGAGTTTTTGTCTATTTTATTCGCTACCATATCTCCTGTGCCTGCTACACAGTATGTGTTCAATAAATGCTTTCCAATAAAGAATAAAGAAATCAGTGAACTAACAAAGTGTATTGTATCCCAAAACCCAAGAGCTTTATGAGGAGTGAAATGTTCAACAGTTTCCCTGCTGCTGTTTAAAGATTTTCAAGTAGTTATTGCACTATATATGCCTTAGAACCATGCTATGATAAACAAGAATTTTTTCATTAAAACGGGCACTAATAAAAGCAGCTCCGTTGATCACAAAATGTATGGCAAGCAATCTATATATTTTATTTTATAATCATTTTATGCATTATTTCCATTTTACAAATGAAGAAATCAAGAAATTAAATAATTTGGCTAAATAAACTATGAAGTGACTGAGCTAGATTTTAAACCAGAAGCTGTGCTCTTCCAACAGGACCATGCTGACTTTGAGACCCAAAAATACAGCACATGACTCCTTTCTTCCTTTATTCATGGATTTATTCAAGGATGCTGGCAAAAGGACAAACGGAAATAGATGAGGTTAAGTAGGTATTGAGGGTCCAGATCTGTTTGTGTGCTGAATGGGATGAAAAATTATTAAAGGATTGTGAGCAGAGGAGTTCTGGATCTGTCTTAGTTTTTTTTTTTTTTAATAACCACTTTGCTGTGTTGAGAACAAACTAAAGGGGAGCAAGACAGAAGGAGAGACAGAAGTTTTGAGACTAAAATAATCCCAGCCAGGGGTTATGGTGGATTAAAACAGGGTCACAGTGTTGAATGTGCTGAGATGTGATCATTTTCTTGATGTGTTTTGAAAATAGATATGAGAGGATTTCCTGATACACTGGATATAAGGATACGTGGCTGTGATGTGAGGGAAAAAAGGAGTCTAGGGTAGCTCTGAAGTTTGGCCTAAGCAATGAAAGGTTAAGGCTGTCATTACTACTAGGGTGAAGATCACTAAAGAAGCAGTTTTGGGGTAAGAGTGGGCAGATCTGTTTTGGAAATAGTAAGGTTGAGACACCAATTGCACATCTTAGTGGAGATGCTAGGAAGCAGCTGGATACCAAGTCTGCAGTTCAGGGAGAGGCCCAACATATTGATTGTATTTGAAGTGATAGAGTGGGTTGAGATTCCAATTACATTTAGAAACAATGAAGAAATAGTTTAGTTTTCAATAAAAATAGTGTTTAATGTAAAACATTCTGGCTACACTCATTTTTACTCACAATAGAAGGTTGGTGACTAAAGAAACTCAGAGAAATCAAATAAGAAAAGTGAGCCACAGCTTGACTGCACTTCTTCATCGGCAATGAAGCTGACGCATTCATTCATTCAATATGGTAGGACAGTCGGGTATAGCCATGTTGACTGTGTTCATGAAGGACGAACTCAATTTGTTAATAAACCATGTATGCATGGAACTGAAGCTTGTTAGTAATTCATTATAAAGTACTTTATAAACAAATAGGTAATTTCTTTCAGGAATTTATTTGAACCAGCTGAATGTACTATAGTGACTAATTCCACAAGCCTAATAGTTGTGAAAATGTATCAGCAAAGAAGAATTTTAGTGTATCATCAGTTGATTTTTTTTGCATGTTTCTTTGCCAAACAAAAATGGACAGGCCTTTCCGACGCACATTCATAGTTTTCCATGACGGTGGTGGTTTTCCATTTCTTTGTGTTCTGGACCTGCCTGTGAGGGAAGCCAGTTTGCCTGTGGAAAGTGCTTGGGCTGGAAAAAAGGGCTGCTTTCCAGATGTGCGTAAGTTAATTCCAGTTTAAAACAATTATTGTGTCTTTCTGCCTAATGCCAGGTTCATTTCACGTCTTGCACCTGAATTACTATCAAGATAGCCTAATTTGTTTTTATAGGATGCTATTGTCCAACAGACACAATATTTTACACCTAGAAAGACCAATCTTTAATCATGCTCTGAGTGGGGATTTGGAACATTGCACTAGTGGCAAGGACAGTTACAATTAGTGCCTTGAAATGTGAAAAGAGGGAGGCTGATCAGGCTCCTGCCCCCTTATCAATGCATTTCTGCAGTCGCTTGATTGGGCGGCATGCAATCTCATCCCACTGACCCTCAGCATCAGCTGTGGAAACAGGCTTTCTGTGCCGTTGTCTGGAGAGTGCTATTTGGAGCAATTTGGAGCCCCTTTCTCCCTTCAATCAAGCCATTTCAGACCGTCTCCATGGCACCGATTTTTTCCCTGACACTGAGTGGCAGCCGGGCTGGAGGAAGTCATGTGAGGGCCAACCAGCTGGTTTCAGTCTTGGTTCTGTCATTCAATTAAGTTGGCTCAGGAAAGACACTTAATCTAAGTCTCAGCTTTGTCTCCTTAAAATAATGCTACTAAAAAGGCAAAAGAAAACAAGAAATGTGAAATTCCTTCTTATATAAAATATGAATAATTATGGTTAAGTAACCTATGCTTCAAACAGAAGAATACCTGAATCAAGCTTATCCAGGTTCTTAAACAAAAGTAACAAGGTATTTGAGGCATATAGAAAGGTATAAGAATAATATAACAAACATCTGTGTACCACAGCTTGACAACAAAATAATAAATTTATAGTAGAAGCTGTCTTTGTACCCCCCACATCAAATCTCCCCTCTCTGTACCCTGGATAAGAGTAACCACAATTGTGAATTTAGAGTTTATCCATTCAATGAATATTTAAAAAATGTAATTATGTATGTAAGTACTTCTAAATAGCATCAATAAAATACAATAATTTTGCATACTTTAAAACAAACACCTTATTGTATGATTCTGAAACTTTGTTCAATAATATATTTTTGAGAGTTATCCAATTTGATACCTGTGAGTATTAAATCCATTCACCTGCTGTATTTTAAGTTAAATAAACCAGGCACAGAAAGATAAGCATCACATGTTCTCGCTGATTTGTGAGATCTAAGAATCAAAACAATTGAACTCATAGAGAGTAGAAGGATGGTTACCAGAGGCTGGGAAGTGTAGTGGGAGGCAGTGGTGGGGAGTTGAGGATGGTTAATGAGCACAAAAAATAGAATAAGTAAGACCTACTATTTGATAGCACAGCAGGGTGACTATAGTCGATAATAACTTAACTGTACAGTTTCAAATAACTTTAACAATATGATTGGATTGTTTGTCACTCAAATGATAAATGCTTGAGGGTATGTCCCATTCTCCATGATGTTCGTGTTTCACCTTGTATGTCTGTATCAAAACATCTCATGTACCTCATAAATATATACACCTACTATGTACCCACAGAAATTAAAAATTAAGAAGTGCTGAATTCCACTGTATGACTAAACCACAATTTATATATTCTATTCTTTCTATGACAAACAATGCTTCATCCACAAACTTGTTCATGTGGGATAGGTTCTCTTGAGGCACTTAGGCAGTGACCAAATTGCTGGGCTATGAAATACTCATATTAAGAAGTTTGCTTTTTACTGTCAAATTGTCCTCCAAAGTGGCTGTAAGACTTTATATTACCTATAGCAATTCTAAATTACTGCCAGTCTAATGGGTATAAAGTGCTATCTCATTGAGGTTTTCAATTCACACATCCCCGATGAACGAAGTTAGCATTTTAAAATGCTTATTTTCTATTTAGAATTTCTATTCTTGTCATTTCCCCTCTCTCCTTCCCTCTAGTTCTCCCTCTCACTTTCCTTCTTTCCCTCTCTGTCTCCCATTATTTTTCTATATATTTTGTTGTTGTTGATTTGTAAGAGTTCTTTTTATGTTCTGGACACTAATTATTTGTCAGATATGTTGCTTACATTTTCATCTTTCTAGTGATGCTTTTGAAGCCCAGAATTATCAAATTCAACGCGGTCAAATTTATCATTTTTTTCCTTTGAGTTTGTGTTATTTTGGTGTGTTAAGAAATTCCTCTCTAGCCCTAATTCATAAATATATTCAACTACACTTTCCTAATAAAAGATTTAAAGTTTTGTTTTTCATGTTTTGGTTTTTAATTCATGTATAATTGATTTTGTGTTTATGGTAAGAGATAAAGTTCCATTTTTGTTTCTTTCTAGAAAATCAATAGTCTTAAAAATTTATTAGAATATCCTTTCTTCTGATCTGCAAAGCAGGTTTTGTCAAATGCTATGTCCACATACAAGCATACTTCTGCGTTGGGATTTTCTATTTTGTTCAGTTGATCTGTCTATCCTTGTACTGAAACCACGCTGTTAAAATTATAATGGCTCAGGGTGCGGTTCCAAGATGGCCGAATAGGAACAGCTCCAGTCTACAGCTCCAAGAGTGAGTGACACAGAAGATGGGTGATTTCTGCATTTCCAGCTGAGGTACCGAGTTCATCTCACTGGGGCTCATTGAACAGTGGGGGCAGGACAGTGGATGCAGTGCACCGAGTGTGAGCTGAAGCAGGGCGAGGCATTGCTTCACCCGGGAAGCGCAAGGGGTCAGGGAGTTCCCTTTCCTAGCCAAGCAAAGCGGTGACAGAAAGCACCTGGAAAATCCGGTCACTCCCACCCTAATACTGTGCTTTTCCAATGGTCTTAGCAAACAGCACACCAGGAGACTATATCCTGCACTTGACTGAGAGGGTCCAACGCCCATGGAGCCTCGCTCATTGCTAGCACAGCAGCCTGAGATTGAACTGCAAGGCGGCAGCGAGGCTGGGCGAGGGGTGCCCACCATTGCTGAGGCTTGAGTAGGTAAACAAAGCAGCAGGGAAGCTCAAACTGGGTGGAGCCCACCACAGCTCAAGGAGGCCTGTGGGCCTCTGTAGACTCCACCTCTGGGGGCAGGGCATAGCCAAACAAAAGGCAGCAGAAACCTCTGCAGACTTAAATGTCCCTGTTTGACAGCTTTGAAGAGAGTAGTGGTTCTCCCAGCACGGAGTTTGAGATCTGAGAACGGACAGACTGCCTCCTCAAGTGGGTCACTGACCCCTGAGTAGCCTAACTGGGAGGCACCCCCAAGTAGGGGCAGACTGACACATCACACAGCTGGGTACCCCTCTGAGATGAAACTTCCAGAGGAACGATCAGCCAGCAACATTAGCTGTTCAGCAATATTCACTGTTCTGCAGCCTCTGCTGCTGATACCCAGGCAAACAGGGTCTGGAGTGGACCTCCAGTAAACTCCAACAGACCTGCAGCTGAGGGTCCTGACTGTTAGAAGGAAAACTAACAAACAGAAAGGACATCCACACCAAAACCCCATCTGTATGTCACCATCATCAAAGACCAAAGGTAGATAAAACCACAAAGATGGGGAAAAAACAGAGCAGAAAAACCGGAAACTCTAAAAATCAGAGCGCCTCTCCTCCTCCAAAGGAACGCAGCTCCTTACCAGCAACGGAACAAAGCTGGACAAAGAATGACTTTGACGAGTTGAGAGAAGAAGGCTTCAGACTATCAAACTTCCCCGAGCTAAAGGAGGAAGTTCGAACCCATGGCAAATAAGTTAAAAACCTTGAAAAAAGATTAGACGAATGGGTAACTAGAATAACCAATGCAGAGAAGTCCTTAAAGGACTTGATGGAGCTGAAAACCATGGCACGAGAACTATGTGATGAAAGCACAAGCTTCAGTAGCCGATTCAATCAACTGGAAGAAAGGGTATCAGTGAAGGAAGATCAAATAAATGAAATGAAATGAGAAGAGAAGTTTAGAGAAAAAAGAATAAAAAGAAATGAACATAGCCTCCAAGAAATATGGGACTATGTGAAAAGACCAAATCTACGTCTGATTGGTGTACCTGCAAGTGATGGCGAGAATGGAACCAAGTTGGAAAACACTCTGCAGGATATTATCCAGGAGAACTTCCCCAACCTAGCAAGGCAGGCCAACATTAAAATTCAGGAAATACAGAGAATGCCACAAAGATACTCCTTGAGAAGAGCAACTCCAAGACACATAATTGTCAGATTCACCAAAGTTGAAATGAAGGAAAAAATGTTAAGGGCAGCCAGAGAGAAAGGTCGGGTTACCCACAAAGGGAAGCCCATCAGACTAACAGAGGATCTCTCAGCAGAAACTCTACAAGCCAGAAGAGAGTGGGGAACAATAGTCAACATTCTTAAAGAAAAGAAGTTTCAACCCAGAATTTCATATCCAGCCAAACTAAGTTTCACAAGTGAAGGAGAAATAAAATACTTTACAGACAAGCAAATGCTGAGTGATTTTGTCACCACCAGGCCTGCCCTAAAAGAGCTCCTGAAGGAAGTACTAAACGTGGAAAGGAACAACCAGTACCAGCCACTGCAAAAACATGCCAAATTGTAAAGACCATCAAGGCTAGGAAGAAACTGCATCAACTAACGAGCAAAATAACCAGCTAACATCATAATGACAGGATCAAATTCACACATAACAATACTAACCTTAAATTCAAATGGGCTAAATGCTCCAATTAAAAGACACATACTGGCAAATTGGATAAAGAGTCAAGATCCATCAGTGTGCTCTATTCAGGAAACCTATCTCACATGCAGAGACACACATAGTCTCAAAATAAAGGATGGAGGAAGATCTACCAAGCAAATGGAAAACAAAAAAAGGCAGGGGTTGCAATCCTAGTCTCTGATAAAAGGGACTTTAAACCAACAAAGATCAAAAGAGACAAAGAAGGCCATTACATAATGGTAAAGGGATCAATTCAACAAGAAGAGCTAACTATCCTAAATATATATGCACCCAATACAGGAGCACCAAGGTTCATAAAGCAAGTCCTTAGAGACCTACAAAGAGACTTAGACTCCCACACAATAATAATGGGAGACTTTAACACCCCACTGTCAACATTAGACAGATCAACAAGACAGAAAGTTAACAAGGATATCCAGGAATTGAACTCAGCTCTGCACCAAGTGGACCTAACAGACATCTACAGAACTCTCCACCCCAAATCAACAGAATATACATTCTTCTTAGCACCACACTGCACTTATTCCAAAATCGACCACATAGTTGGAAGTAAAGCACTCCTCAGCAAATGTAAAAGAACAGAAATTATAACAAACTGTCTCTCAGACCACAGTGCAATCAAACTAGAACTCAGGATTAAGAAACTCACTCAAAACCGCTCAACTACATGGAAACTGAACAATCTTCTCCTGAATGACTACTGGGTACATAACAAAATGAAGGCAGAAATAAAGATGTTCTTTGAAACCAACAAAAACAAAGACACAACATACCAGAATCTCTGGAACATATTTAGAGCAGTGTGTAGCGGGAAATTTACAGCACTAAGTGCCCACAAGAGAAAGCAAGAAAGATCTAAAATTGACACCCTAACATCACAATTAAAAGAACTAGAGAAGCAAGAGCAAACACATTCAAAAGCTAGCAGAAGGCAAGAAATAACTAAGATCAGAGCAGAACTGAAGGAAATAGAGACACCAAAAAACCCTTCAAAAAATCAATGAATCCAGGAGCTGGTTTTTTGAAAAGATCAACAAAATTTATAGACCACTAGCAAGACAAATAAAGAAGAAAAGAGAGAAGAATCAAATAGACACAATAAAAAATGACAAAGGGGATATCACCACTGATCCCACAGAAATACAAACTACTGTCAGAGAATACTATAAACATCTCTACGCAAATAAACTAGAAAATCTAGAGGAAATGGATAAATTCCTCGACACATACACCCTCCCAAGACTAAACCAAGAAGAAGTTGAATCTCTGATTAGACCAATAACAGGCTCCGAAATTGAGGCAATAATTAATAGCTTACCGACCAAAAAAGTCCAGGACCAGACGGATTCACAGCCGAATTCTACCAGAGGTACAAGGAGGAGCTGGTACCATTCCTTCTGAAATTATTCCAATCAATAGAAAAAGAGGGAGTCCTCCCTAACTCATTTTATGAGGCCAGCATCATCCTGATACCAAAGCCTGGCAGAGACACAACAAAAAAAGAGAATTTTAGACCAATATCCCTGATGAATATCGATGCAAAAATCCTCAATAAAATACTGGCAAACCGAATCCAGCAGGACATCAAAAAGCTTATCCACTATGATCAAGTGGGCTTCATCCCTGGGATGCAAGGCTGGTTCAACATACCAAAATCAATAAACGTAATCCAGCATATAAACAGAACCAATGACAAAAACCACATGATTATCTCAATAGATGCAGAAAAGGCCTTTGACAAAATTCAACAACCCTTCATGCTAAAAACTCTCAATAAGTTAGGTATTGATGGGATGTATCTCAAAATAATAAGAGCTACTTATGACAAACCCACAGCCAATATCATACTGAAAGGGCAAAAACTGGAAGCATTCCCTTTGAAAACTGGCACAAGACAGGGATGCCCTCTCTCACCACTCCTATTCAACCTAGTGCTGGAAGTTCTGGCCAGGGCAATCAGGCAGGAGAAGGAAATAAAGGACATTCAATTAGGAAAAGAGGAAGTCAAATTGTCCCTGTTTGCAGATGACATGATTGTATATTTAGAAAACCCCATCGACTCAGCGCAAAATCTCCTTAAGAGATAAGCAACTTCAGCAAAGTCTCAGGATACAAAATCAATGTGCAAAAATCACAAGCATTCTTATACACCAATAACAGACAAACAGAATGCCAAATCATGAGTGAACTCCCATTCACAATTGCTTCAAAGAGAATAAAATACCTAGGAATTCAACTTACAAGGGATGTGAAGGACCTCTTCAAGGAAAACTACAAACTACTGCTCAACGAAATAAAAGAGGATACAAACAAATGGAAGAACATTCCATGCTCATGGGTAGGAAGAATCAATATCGTGAAAATGGCCACACTGCCCAAGGTAATTTATAGATTCAATGCCATCCTCATCAAGCTACCAATGACTTTGTTCACAGAATTGGAAAAAAACTATTTTAAAGTTCATATGGAACCAAAGAAGAGCCCGCATTGCCAGGAGAATGCTAAGCCAAAAAACAAAGCTGGGGGCATCACGCTACCTGACTTCAAACTATGTTACAAGGCTACAGTAACAAAAACAGCATGGTACTGGTACCAAAATAGAGGTATAGACCAATGGAACAGAACAGAACCCTCAGAAATAATACCACACGTCTACAACTATCTGGTCTTTGACAAACCTGAGAAAAACAAGAAATGGGGAGAGGATTCCCTATTCAACAAATGGTGCTGGGAAAACTGGCTAGCCATATGTAGAAAGCTGAAACTGGATCCCTTCCTTATACCTTATACAAAAATTAATTCAAGAAGGATTAAAGACTTAAATGTTAGACCTAAAACCATAAAAACCTTAGGAGAAAACCTAGGCAATACCATTTAGGACATAGGCATGGGCAAGGACTTCCTGTCTAAAACACCAAAAGCAATGGCAACAAAAGCCAAAATTGACAAATGGGATCTAATTAAACTAAAGAGCTTCTGCACAGCAAAAGAAACTACCATCAGAGTGAACAGGCAACCTACAGAATGGGAGAAAACTTTTGCAATCTACTCATCTGACAAAGGGCTAATATTCAGAATCTACAAAGAACTCAAACAAATTTACAAGAAATAAAACAATCCCATCCAAAAGTGGGCAAAGGATATGAACAGACACTTCTCAAATAAGACATTTATGCAGCCAAAAGACACATGAAAAAATGCTCATCATCACTGGCCATCAGAGAAATGCAAATCAAAACCACAATGAGATACCATCTCACACCAGTTAGAATGGCAATCACTAAAAAGTCAGGGAACAACAGGTGCTGGAGAGGATGTGGAGAAATAGGAACACTTTTACACTGTTGGTGGGATTGTACACTAGTTCAACCATTGTAGAAGTCAGTGTGGCGATTCCTCAGGGATCTAGAACTAGAAATACCATTTGACCCAGCCATCCCATTACTGGGTATATACCCAAAGGATTATAAATCATACTGCTATAAAGACATGCACACGTATGTTTATTGCGGCACTATTCACAATAGCAAAGACTTGGAACCAACCCAAATGCCCAACAATGATAGACTGGATTAAGAAAATGTGACACATATACACCATGGACTACTATGCAGCCATAAAAAATGGTGATTTCATTTCCTTTGTAGGGACATGGATGAAGCTGGAAACCATCATTCTCAGCAAACTATCGCAAGGACTAAAAACCAAACACCTCATGTTCTCACTCATAGGTGGGAATCGAACAATGAGAACACTTGGACACAGGAAGGGGAACATCACACACCAGGGCCTGTTGTAGGGTGGGTGGGGCCAGGGGGATAGCATTAGGAGATGTACCTAATGTAGATGATGAGTTAATGGGTGCAGCACACCAACATGGCACATGTATACATATGTAACAAACCTGCACGTTGTGCACGTGTACCCTAGAACTTAAAGTATAATAAAAAAATATAAAAACATAAATTATAATGGCTCAACAATAAGTTTTGATTTCAGATATCACATGTCCCCCAACCTTGTTCTCCTTCGTAATTGTTTTGGCTAGTATGCTTCCTTTTCCTTTCTGTATAAATTTTCAGATTATCTTTCCAAATTATTTGGAAAATCATGTTGAGATTTCCATTGGATTGCATTGAATTCATAGATTAATTTTGGTAGATAGATAAAATGTTTAAGCAGGCTGACGTACATTGACTTATTCAATAATTTTGAGTGTTCACTTTGTGCCAGGCCCTGTGCTGAAGTTACACAGGAAACTTTATGACCAGGCTTGGTTTATCATGCCCTCCCACTCTACATCTCATCTGGCTGTCTGAACCCCAGCCATCAGGAACCTCTTTCCTATGAGCAAACGCACCTTGCTCTCTTCTGTCTTCCTGGTCTTTGCAGATGCTATTCCCTCCACCTGGAGAACTCTTTGCTCTCTCCTCATCTTGTTAACTCCTACTGGCCTTTGAATCTTCCTTCTTTGAGAAGGTTTCTTTGTCCCTTAAGTTATGTGTTATGCCATGGGCATCCCTGGCATCCTCCATTCCTCCCCTGGAGTAAGCTGCCTAACACGGTATGGAAATTTCCCATGTCCCCTGTGGACTGTCAGCTCAGTGAAAACGGGGGTTATTATATGTTGTTCACAGAGTTTTCTCCAGCACTAATGGGTTCCTTGTATCTGGCACATGATTGGTACTCAGTAAAAAAAATTGTTGAAAATATGAATATTGATTCTCTACATAAAGCTAGTCCTTGTGACAGGCAGTTTGCGAGGAGGGGTACAAAAAATTAAGCCCTCAGGAAAGGAGCTTAGAGTCTAATGGGCTAATCAGACTTGTATGTATAAATTATAATACAAAGCTAAATATAAGAATTTTTGGATTGAAGATAACCATAAGCAATGCTGGTGTGTTAAACTGCCTTCCCAGACTTATTGGAATTAGTTTCCTGTTGAATGTATGAAGATTTACTATCATTTCTGGTGTTTTAAGTCATTTTAAATGTAAATATACTTTAAAATTCCACTGATATTTTCAGCAACCACCATGATCTGTTAAAATTACAAAAACCTCTAATTCTATGGCAGGTTGAAATTGGTTCTGGCTTCATATGCAAGATATTCTGGGAGAAGAATTTTGACAAAATAATTTCTGGTTAGCTCCTTACATCATTTCTTCACGACACTTATAATCTCCAGTACTGAACTTAATGTTTCCTATAACAGGATTTTAAAAGAAGAGAAGTGATAATTTCATCTTTTCACTGCCTGTGTTTGGGCTCCTATCATCTTTCCTCCAGATGGTGCTCTGTCCTCTCTCCTCTGTTAATGGTCCTCCACAACCTGAGAGATAGAGTTCCAAAAAACAGATCTGAATAGTCATTTTTATACTTAACAGCCTCTGGCCAAAGGATCAAGTCTAAACTTCTGGTGCAGCATAGAAGGCACTTTACTTCTTGCACAAACTTAATTTCCTTTCCTCATCTCCCATTCTGTATCATAATTACTCACTTTCACAGTTCTCTATCTAGACTCTGAGTTCCTTAAATGTAGGAGCCTGTTATTCCCCCTTTTATCTATGATTCCTGGCACCTAAGGGTTACTCAGTAAATGTTAGGTTAATTACCTTTATGTGACTCTGGAGGTTTCTCTAAATTCTGAATGATTGTTGGCAACATCAAATTGAGAATGTCATGTTTCTTAATTGAATGTTGAAAAGGTATAATTGGTGTCATTTGGTCAAAGGAAGTTCATTTGGTAGAATTCTCAGTTATCCTTTTTACCTGAGAGCCATGTCATTAACAGCCACTCATGTGGCTAAACACTCTGAATAGCATATGAAAGGTGTGGCCTGTGGCTAAGCCAGAAGAACTGAGTCCAGGAGACCAAGGAGATCCCCTCATGGCTTTTACTGTCAGGTTCCTAGGATAATGATAGCCATCCCTGACATTTTGTCATATTGCCAGAGGGATATGTACATGTATTGAAAAAAATAGTATGTATAAATATGAAAGCAATATTTCCTTCCACTGCTTGAAGTCTGTATTATTATTTACCATGTGTAGTAAGAGTGATGAAAGGAAAACACAGACTATTTCATGTAAGCAAACTGGGAAGAGGGCAAGGTTTAATATTGTCGCATTTATCTTGGACTTGGTCAAAGAAAAGGAAAAGAACAAATAGTTTATGAGCTGTCAAAAAAGACATGTCACCATGCCTCCCAAATGAAGTGAGGCACCTTCAAATAGTACTAAGCTAGGGGGAGCCACCTGTAAGGGATACTATTTACCTGTCTTCAGATCTTGATTAATGTCAGTGAGACACACTTTACCTCTACCATTTCTCCCTGTCTCCATGGAACAAATGTTAAAGTCTGCTCCTCAGAAAAGGAAAGTATGGGAACACTTCCAGTGTCTCCTGGGGAGAGAAGGCATCACTTATCTGATTGGCGGGTCTGGAGAAAGAACTGAACATGTTCAATCTACCGCCTTTTAGCGTCTTTATATTTTAATAGGCATTTGCTTGTGTTTTCTGCCCTTCCTTGCTTAATCCTGCAGGGGCCAGTTGGCCCCTGTGTGGGAACCTGTGATTGTTCAAATACGCCTGCACTTGGCCAAGCAAATCTGTCTAATTAAGAGGTAGACGTTAGAAAGGCCATTGTGGCTGCACATTTCAGGCTTGTGTACCTACCCAAACCTTGTCAGAAATGAAGCTGATTAGGTGGGAACTGAACAATGAGAACACATGGACACAGGAAGGGGAACATCACACTCTGGGGACTGTTGTGGGGTGGGGGGAGTGGGGAGGGATAGCATTAGGAGATATACCTAATGCTAAATGGTGAGTTAATGGGTGCAGCACACCAACATGGCACATGTATACATATGTAACAAGCCTGCACGTTGTGCACATGTACCCTAAAACTTACTTAAAGAAGTATAATAATAATAAAATTTTTAAAAAAAGAAATGAAGCTGATTTTGGTCACTATATGTGGGTCTGCCCTGTAGGACTCGATTGGATTTGGAAGCAAAATAAAAGGTTGTCCTTCTCTGCATTCCCAAAACCACAATCACCCATTAGCCCATCTATGTAAACAATGTGCCAGACACCCATTCAGTGGCCTCTCTCAGGTCCCCAACACATGCACATAACGCACACAATACATTACGATCAAACTAAAGCCTGTATCTCTTTTGTTTTCCCTCCCTCCTCAGAAGTAATCAGTATGACGAGGTTAGTATGTCTTTGTCCCAAGTGAGCTTGAGACCAGGTTTATAGTTGGTTAGAAGATTTCTTTTCCCTTTTATAATTACATGTTAACACCTTTATTAAATTTGTTTCTTAAATTCATATTCATTGACTTTCTACAAACTGAAATTTCTCTATATCGAGTTTGCCAGTGGAACTAACTAGTGGAAGATTCATTGACCTGACTTGGAGTTAATGATGACTGCTGAAGTTTGAGAAATCATAGGATTAATGATCAGAAGATCTGAGTCAAAAGTTGCTGTATGACTATGAACAGGTCAGATTCTCATTCAGTTTCCTCATCTGTAAAATGGGAACTCATGTATCCAAATGCAACATTTGGTTTGTATGAGAACCAAATAATCATGTATATGAAAATACTTTAAATAACATAAAGTACTAGTCATTAGTGATGCCACTAGTTTTTCAAATAAATTAATATATCTAGGAAAAATAGTAGGTACTATACTATTCATTATAGGTGACTATTAAGTTTTAGAAATGCTATGTATGAAATTGAGTAATCATAATTTGAGAAAAAAGTATTACTCTGCTATAACACATGGTTTACTAGCAGAATATTCCAAGACCTGGTGAGTAGTATATGGGATTTATATATACCATGAGAATACCATGTGAGTTATTAACACATAAATGGAAGGCCATAGTTTTGTGCCATATTTTTAATTCCTGACACTGTTTATCTGGTTATCCTGGTCAAGTGGTAATTAGGCAAGTCTCCATCATGTTCTTTATCAGCAATAAAATGTAAATTTGCTTTTGGGGAAAATTAAAAGGTTTGGAGATGGCAGGAGTTGTAAAGGAATTAAATCTGTCACTAAATTAGTGAAGCTACAGAATTCCTTTTGTTTCCAAACTTTAGAATTAGGCAACTGTTTACCATCCTTTTTAATAGATGAGGAAATAAATGTCCTCAACTGGGGACCAATAAGCTGCGAGCAGTCACAGCAATAGATAAGAACACAGCCAGAATTAGATGTCATATTTCATGAGTTTCTGGTTTAAAAACCAAATAAACAACTCAGCTTCTTTCCCAGCTCAAGTGTAAAATATCACTTTGTCCTAGCCCTAGTTGGCTGAAATTTTCCAGAAAAGCATTGAGTAACTTCCAAAACTTTTTATTATAATAACCATTTGTGTATATGTCTACACACAAGTGTACAGTATAGCATCACTATTGTGTTGATTAAAGCAATTTATTAAAAAGAATTAAGGCCTAATTTGTGAGTAGGAACCAGAGTAAACTCCATAAGTAGAGTAGCTTTTAATTGGAAAATAGACAATTCAATATATAAGTATAACATAGAATTATGAAAAATATGGTTGGGGAAAGTTCCAGAATAACAGTTTGGTTCTTAGGCAAATATCCTAATACTAAAAGGGTACCAAGAATTTGCAACATATTAGCATATGGGGGTCAATAATATTTTTGGTCTCTTTTTTCTTTTTTTTTTTTTGAGACAGAGTCTCGCTCTTTCGCCAGGCTGGAGGGCAGTGACACAATCTCGGCTCACTGCAAGCTCTGCCTCCCAGGTTCACGCCATTCTCCTGCCTCAGCCTCCCGAGTAGCTGGGACTACAGGTGCCCGCCACCACACCCAGCTAATTTTTTTGTATTTGTAGTAGAGACAGGATTTCACCATGTTGGCCAGGATGGTCTCGATCTCCTGACCTCGTGATCTGCCCGTGTCGGCCTCCCAAAGTGCTGGGATTACAGGCGTGAGCCAACATGCCCAGCCTGGTCTCTTTTTTCTTTTAAGGGCATGAAATAATACCTGTTGTCAAGAAAACAAGAAAGTTGTGATACAGTAACTAAGCTAACTATTTAAGGAATGTCAACAATATAAATCTTAAGAGGGCACAGGTAAGAACAATTTGAAATGCCCTGGCACGTATCTGAGATTCATGAGTATTCAGGGGAAAACAGTGTTTTCTCCAGGAATCAAACACACATCCTGAGAGTGACATTTCGTGTATACGCATTGTTATTTTAAAATCAGAGTTTCCTTTGATTAAAAAAAAAACAAAAAAACAAAAAACTGGACTTAGTGGCAGTGTGGTGTGATGGAAATAGCCCAGACTGAAAACTTCAATATTTCAGTTCTACTTCAGGCTCTTCCATTAACTATTTGAGTCTTGGCAAGTCGCTTTCCTTCTCCGGGAGTCACTTTTAAAAAAAAAAATGTATAAAATGAGGGGATAAACTAATTGAGACTGATAAGCATGTGACTGACCAAGTAATTGAACTTGTGATTTATTACACTGATGTTTCAAAATGAGAAACCGGACTACGGAATAAACCTAAGCTCTTTAGCTTCTTTGAGCCTCAGTTTCCTCATTTATAAAATGGGTGTAGTGATACCTGATTGGGGTATGGTGATAGTTAAGTAATACTAGGCATGTAAAACAACTAGCATAATACCTTTCACTTGTTACATATTTAGAAATTGGTAGCTATGATTATTACTATGCACTAGATGTTTTGAATACTATCTCAGTAGCTCATGAATTTGAGCATGTATCAAAGTCACCTGGAGGTGGGGCTACATAATTTGCATTTCTAACAAATTCCCAGGTGATGCTGATAATAGTTATGAATACCTGAGACTGTGTGATCCTAAGAGTAGAAAGTGTCAGTCTATTTGATTATCATCTCAGTCGACTTGGCAATACCAAATATGTTTGACTTTTAACATAAATGTGGATCCGTATGACTACTTAATGTCTTCATAAGGATCACAGTATGATGGGGCTTTGAAAGGAAAAGTTACGGTGTATGCAGAAGAAAGCCTACCATACCTTAGGCGATGGAATTAAAGGCAGTAGAAATGGCCAGCTTCTTTAGAGTAGATCGTAGTATTTTCAGCTGGGAGAATAGATGTGACTGATCCTGAATTGTGATGGCCCATGACTCAGGCACTAAACATCTCTGTCAAAAACTTACAGACTGCTTTGAAGAGAAACTATTTAATATATGGTATGAGTAATTCAGTAGAGGAAAGAACTATGAGTTTAACCAATGCAGAAATGCAGACAGAACTTTGATATTCTTTCAAGTGCCTCGAAATTAAATGGTTAATCTCAAAGGTGTTAATGGGGGTGGGGTTGAAATCAAGGCCTGGGTTAGAAAAGCAGCATATCTGTGCTGAGCTATACAAGCTGCCCAGGGTCAAGGCACTCAGATGAGACTTTCTACTAGGAGAGCCAATGAAGACTCCACTCTTGACTGAAAGAATGTATAATTGCACAGATAAGTGGCAATATTGGTTAACAATATTTGGTGAATATTTCATATATATTTTTCCCCAAAGAAGCCTGTAAAATAAGATTGCTACTTGCAATCAATGACATCTAAGGATCAAAGAAATATGGCATATGTTTATACCATAATTTACTTAGTTATTCTCTTTTCGTTAGTAATTTCTAGTGGTTGCTATCATAAATAGGACTGCTGTGAGCATTTTGGTACCTATATATTTTTGATAACTGATTTTTTTTTTTTAGGCAAAGTGTGACTTAGTCTTGAGGAAAAGGTATTTTGAAGATACGTAGGTGGGAGCATAATTGTCCCTTTCCCTAATGTTGAAGAATGGACATTCCTAAACTTCCATGTAAAGAATCCACCTTAAGGCAGACTTCCTCCACTCAGCTCTGTTGGTAATTGCTTACGTCAAGGAGAAAACAGAGACTACCAGTTCTATTCCTTTTCCTTTGACATTTATCCACAAAAATGATTAGACTATTTTTAGTTAATCTGCCTAACCTTTTCTTTTTCTTGTAACCCAGAGCAATTTTCTCTTACAAGGAATTACTGGTTGTTCTTCTTTTGCATCTTTTTCATATTCATGGATAAAATTGCTGCTCTTTGAACAAGACAATTATTCCTTAAAAGATAGAAATGAGTTTACTTCCCCTTTGGTTCTGAAGTAATTATATAAACAAAATTTTAGAATGCAAGTGAGAATAACGAAATAGAGCTGTTGGCAGAGTTAATTGGCTGATCTTTTTATGTAGATCTAATTGGGGATGTCAATTGAATTTTTGGAAATCATTGCTTATTTCCTTTGACAATTATTTATTGCTCTGTGTAATTTGAATGTATAATACATAGTTTGTTCACTTCTACATTATGGCTTGATTGAGAAAAACTATTTCTATCAGGGAGAGAGAAAAAAAATTCAAATAAGTTTCTGCCCTTCCAGTAATGGTTTAGGGAAAATAATATACAGATGTAAAATGAGCACATAATGAATTGTTAGATTTGCCATGGTTAGTTATTTCTTGACATCGGAGAGCCAGCAGTGGCACGGTAGGGAGGGTACTTGGGTAATGTGAGCTTTGTTCTGGATTTTGCTACTTACTAGTTGTGACTTTGGCAAACTAAACTAATTTCTGCAGTACTCAATTTTAAATGTGTAAAACAACATAATCAATCATAGTGTTTCCTTCTTCCCTCACTCCCTCCTTCTCTTCCATTCTTCCTCTTTCGCTCTTCCCTCCCTCTCACCCTTCCTGCCTTCTTTCTGCTTCTGCTTGTTGTTCTTCTTATTCATCTTCTTTTAGGAGACAACACACTGGCTTCAAAATTAGATAAATATTGGCATCTTAATTCTGCCATGTGGTGACACTGGCAGTTTTCCTAGCCCTTCTGGGCCCCAGTTTCTTCCCTTGTAATGTGATAATAATACATACTTGGGGGTGGTTTTGAAGATTAAGTGAGATGGTCCATATAAAGCAGCAGGCGTGGCATAGACACATCTTAGGCCCTCAATAAACACTTAACTGTTATAATGTGGCTGTGAAGAACATGTGATAGAACATTTATCAAGGGTCTTTATTGATAAAGAGTGGTATCAACTTGAATATGAAGGAGTTAGCATGCACTCACCTTGGTAAGTCTGACTCAGTCTTTTTTTTTTATTATTATACTTTAAGTTTTAGGGTACATGTGCACAACATGCAGGTTTGTTACACATGTATACATGTGCCATGTTGGTGTGCTGCAGCCATTAACTCGTCATTTAGCATTAGATATATCTCCTAATGCTATCCCTCCCCCAACCCCACAACAGTCCCCAGTGTGTGATGTTCCCCTTCCTGTGTCCATGTGTTCTCATTGTTCAATTCCCACCTATGAGTGAGAACATGTGGTGTTTGGCTTTTTGTCCTTGCGACAGTTTGCTGAGAATGATGGTTTCCAGCGTCATCCATGTCGCTACAAAGGACATGAACTTATCATTTTTTATGGCTGCATAGTATTCCATGCAGTATATGTGCCACATTTTCTTAATCCAGTCTATCATTGTTGGACATTTGGGTTGGTTCCAAGTCTTTGCTATTGTGAATAGTGCCGCAATAAACATACGTGTGCATGTGTCTTTATAGCAGCATGATTTATAGTCCTTTGGGTATATACTCAGTAATGGGATGGCTGGGTCAAATGGTATTTCTAGTTCTAGATCCCTGAGAAATCGCCACACTGACTTCCACAATGGTTGAATTAGTGTACAGTCCCACCAACAGTGTAAAAGTGTTCCTATTTCTCCACATCCTCTCCAGCACCTGTTGTTTCCTGACTTTTTAATGATTGCCATTCTAACTGGAGTGAGATGGTATCTCATTGTGGTTTTGATTTGCATTTCTCTGATGGCCAGTGATGATGAGCATTTTTTCATGTGTTTTTTGGCTGCATAAATGTCTTCTTTTGAGAAGTGTATGTTCATATCCTTCGCTTACTTTTTGATGGGGTTGTTTGTTTTTTTCTTGTAAATTTGTTTGAGTTCATTGTAGATTCTGGATGTTAGCCCTTTGTCAGATGAGTAGGTTGCAAAAATTTTCTCCCATTTCGTAGGTTGCCTGTTCACTCTGATGGTAGTTTCTTTTGCTGTGCAGAAGCTCTTTAGTTTAATTAGATCCCATTTGTCAATTTTGGTTTTTGTTGCCATTGCTTTTGGTGTTTTAGACATGAAGTCCTTGCCCATGCCTATGTCCTGAATGGTATTGCCTAGGTTTTCATCTAGGGTTTTTATGGTTTTAGGTTTAAAGTTTAAGTCTTTAATCCATCTTGAATTAATTTTTGTATAAGGTGTAAGGAAGGGATCCAGTTTCAGCTTTCTACATATGGCTAGCCAGTTTTCCTAGCACCATTTATTAAATAGGGAATGCTTTCCCCATTGCTTGTGTTTCTCAGGTTTGTCAAAGATCAGGTAGTTGTAGATATGCGGCATTATTTCTGAGGGCTCTGTTGTATTCCATTGGTCTATATCTCTGTCTTGGTACCTGTACCATGCTGGTTTGGTTACTGTAGCCTTGTAGTATAGTTTGAAGTCAGGTAGCCTGATGCCTCCAGGTTCTTTTGGCTTAGGATTGACTTGGTGATGCGGGCTGTTTTTTGGTTGCATATGAACTTTAAAGTAGTTTTTTCCAATTCTGTGAAGAAAGTCATTGGTAGCTTGATAGGGATGGCATTGAATCTATAAATTACCTTGGGCAGTATGGCCATTTTCACGATATTGATTCTTCCTACCCATGAGCATGGAATGTTCTTCCATTTGTTTGTATCCTCTTTTATTTCATTGAGCAGTGGTTTGTAGTTCTCTTTGAAGAGGTCCTTCACATCCCTTGTAAGTTGGATTGCTAGGTATTTTATTCTCTTTGAAGCAATTGTGAATGGGAGTTCACTCATGATTTGGCTCTCTGTTTGTCTGTGATTGGTGTATAAGAATGCTTGTGATTTTTGCACATTGATTTTGTATCCTGAGACTTTGCTGAAGTTGCTTATCAGCTTAAGGAAATTTTGGGCTGAGACAATGGGGTTTTCTAGATATACAATCATGTCATCTGCAAACAGGGACAATTTGACTTCCTCTTTTCCTAATTGAATGTCCTTTATTTCCTTCTCCTGCCTGATTGCCCTGGCCAGAACTTCCAGCACTAGGTTGAATAGGAGTGGTGAAAGAGGGCATCCCTGTCTTGTGCCAGTTTTCAAAGGGAATGCTTCCAGTTTTTGCCCATTCAGTATGATATTGGCTGTGGGTTTGTCATAGATAGCTCTTATTATTTTGAGATACGTCCCATCAATGCCTAACTTATTGAGAGTTTTTAGCATGAAGGGCTGTTGAATTTTGTCAAAGGCCTTTTCTGCATCTATTGAGATAATCATGTGGTTTTTGTCATTGGTTCTGTTTATATGCTGGATTACATTTATTGATTTTGGTATGTTGAACCAGCCTTGCATCCCAGGGATGAAGCCCACTTGATCATAGTGGATAAGCTTTTTGATGTGTTGCTGGATTCGGTTTGCCAGTATTGTATTGAGGATTTTTGCATCAATGTTCATCAAGGATATTGGTATAAAATTCTCTTTTTTTTTGTTGTGTCTCTGCCAGGCTTTGCTATCAGGATGATGCTGGCCTAAAAAAATGAGTTAGGGAGGATTCCCTCTTTTTCTATTGATTGGAATAGTTTCAGAAGGAATGGTACCAGCTCCTCCTTGTACCTCTGATAGAATTCAGCTGTGAATCCATCTGGTCCTGGACTTTTTTTGGTCAGTAAGCTATTAATTATTGCCTCAATTTCAGAGCCTGTTATTGGTCTAATCAGAGATTCAAATTCTTCCTGGTTTAGGCTTGAGAGGGTGTATGTGTCGAGGAATTTATCCATTTCTTCTAGATTTTCTAGTTTATTTGCGTAGAGGTGTTTATAGTATTCTCTGATGGTAGTTTGTATTTCTGTGGGATCGGTGGTGATATCTCCTTTGTCATTTTTTATTGCGTCTGTTTGATTCTTCTCTCTTTTCTTCTTTATTAGTCTTGCTAGCGGTCTATCAATTTTGTTGATCTTTTCAAAAAACCAGCTCCTGGATTCACTGATTTTTTTGAAGAGTTTTTTGTGTCTCTATTTCCTTCAGTTCTGCTCTGATCTTAGTTATTTCTTGCCTTCTGCTAGCTTTTGAATGTGTTTGCTCTTGCTTCTCTAGTTCTTTTAATTGTGATATTAGGGTGTCAATTTTAGATCTTTCCTGCTTTCTCTTGTGGGCATTTAGTGCTATAAATTTCCCTCTACACACTGCTTTGAATATGTTCCAGAGATTCTGGTATGTTGTGTCTTTGTTCTTGTTGGTTTCAAAGAACATCTTTATTTCTGCCTTCATTTTTTTATGTACCCAGTAGTCATTCAGGAGCAGGTTGTTCAGTTTCCATGTAGTTGAGCGGTTTTGAGTGAGTTTCTTAATCCTGAGTTCTAGTTTGATTGCACTGTGGTCTGAGAGACAGTTTGTTATAATTTCTGTTCTTTTACATTTGCTGAGGAGTGCTTTACTTCCAACTATGTAGTCGATTTTGGAATTGGTGTGGTGTGGTGCTGAGAAGAATGTATATTCTCTTGATTTGGGGTGGAGAGTTCTGTGGATGTCTATTAGGTCCGCTTGGTGCAGAGCTGAGTTCAATTCCTGGATATCCTTGTTAACTTTCTGTCTTGTTGATCTGTCTAATGTTGACAGTGGGGTGTTAAAGTCTCCCATTATTATTGTGTGGGAGTCTAAGTCTGTTTGTAGGTCACTAAGGACTTGCTTTATGAATCTGGGTGCTCCTGTATTGGGTGCATATATATTTAGGATAGTTAGCTCTTCTTGTTGAATTGATCCCTTTACCATTATGTAATGGCCTTCTTTGTCTCTTTTGATCTTTGTTGGTTTAAAGTCTGTTTTATCCAAGACTAGGATTGCAACCCCTGCCTTTTTTTGTTTTCCATTTGCCTGGTAGATCTTCCTCCATCCCTTTATTTTGAGCCTATGTGTATCTCTGCATGTGAGATGGGTTTCCTGAATACAGCACACTGATGGGTCTTGACTCTTTATCCAATTTGCCAGTATGTGCTTTTTAATTGGAGCATTTAGCCCATTTGAATTTAAGGTTAGTATTGTTATGTGTGAATTTGATCCTGTCATTATGATGTTAGCTGGTTATTTTGCTCGTTAGTTGATGCAGTTTCTTCCTAGCCTTGATGGTCTTTACAATTTGGCATGTTTTTGCAGTGGCTGGTACTTGTTGTTCCTTTCCACGTTTAGTACTTCCTTCAGGAGCTCTTTTAGGGCAGGCCTGGTGGTGACAAAATCACTCAGCATTTGCTTGTCTGTAAAGTATTTTATTTCTCCTTCACTTATGAAGCTTAGTTTGGCTGGATATGAAATTCTGGGTTGAAACTTCTTTTCTTTAAAAATATTGACTATTGGTCCCCCATCTCTTCTGGCTTGTAGAGTTTCTGCTGAGAGATCAGCTGTTAGTCTGATGGGCTTCCCTTTGTGGGTAACCCGACCTTTCTCTCTGGCTGCCCTTAACATTTTTTCCTTCATTTCAACTTTGGTGAATCTGACAATTATGTGTCTTGGAGTTGCTCTTCTCAAGGAGTATCTTTGTGGCATTCTCTGTATTTCCTGAATTTTAATGTTGGCCTGCCTTGCTAGGTTGGGGAAGTTCTCCTGGATAATATCCTGCAGAGTGTTTTCCAACTTGGTTCCATTCTCCCCATCACTTTCAGGTACAGCAATTAGACGTAGTTTTGGTCTTTTCAAATAGTCCCATATTTCTTGGAGGCTTTGTTCATTTCTTTTTATTCTTTTTTCTCTAAACTTCCCTTCTCGCTTCATTTCATTCATTTCATCTTCCATCGCTGATACCCTTTCTTCCAGTTGATCGCCTCAGTTACTGAGGCTTGTGCATTCGTCACGTAGTTCTTGTGCTGTGGTTTTCAGTTCCATCAGGTCCTTTAAGGACTTCTCTGCATTGGTTATTCTAATTACCCATTTGTCTAATCTTTTTTCAAAGTTTTTAACTTCTTTGCCATTGGTTCGAACTTCCTCCTTTAGCTTGGAGTAGTTTGATCTTCTGAAGCCTTCTTCTCTCAACTCGTCAAAGTCATTCTCTGTCCAGCTTTGTTCCGTTGCTGCTAGGGAGCTGTGTTCCTTTGGAGGAGGAGAGGCGCTCTGATTTTTAGAGTTTCCGGTTTTTCTGCTCTGTTTTTTCCCCTATCTTTGTGGTTTTATCTACCTTTGGTCTTTGATGATGGTGACATACAGATGGGGTTTTGGTGTGGATGTCCTTTCTGTTTGTTAGTTTTCCTTCTAACAGTCAGGACCTTCAGCCGCAGGTCTGTTGGAGTTTACTGGAGGTCCACTCCAGACCCTGTTTGCCTGGGTTTCAGCAGTGGTGACTGCAGAACAGCGAATACTGATGAACTGCAAATGCTGCTGCCTGATCGTTCCTCTGGAAGTTTTGTCTCAGAGCAGTACCTGGCCGTGTGAGGTGTCAGTCTGCCCCTACTTGGGGGTGCCTCCCAGTTAGGCTACTTGGGGTCAGGGACCCACTTGAGGAGGCAGTCTGCCTGTTCTCAGATCTCCAGCTGCATGCTGGGAGAACCACTACTCTCTTCAAAGCTGTCAGACAGGGACATTTAAGTCTGCAGAGGTTATTGCTGTCTTTTGTCTGTGCCCTGCCACCAGAGGTGGAGCCTATAGAGGCAGGCAGGCCTCCTTGAGCTGTGGTGGGCTCCACCCAGTTCGAATTTCCAGGCCACTTTGTTTAACTACTCAAGGCCTGGGCATTGGTGGGCGCCCCTCCCCCAGCCTCGCTGTCACCTTGCAGTTTGATCTCAGACTGCTGTGCTAGCAATGAGGGAAGCTCCGTGGGCCTAGGACCCTCCAAGCCAGGTGCTGGATATAATCTCCTGGTGTGCCATTTGTTAAACCCGTTGGAAAAGCGCAGTATTAGGGTGGGAGTGACCCGATGTTCCAGGTGCCGTTTGTCACCCCTTTCTGTGACTAGGAAAGGGAATTCCCTGACCCCTTGTGCTTCCTGGGTGAGGCGATGCCTCGCCCTGCTTCGACTCATGCATGGTGTGCTGCGCCCACTGTCCTTCACCCGCTGTCCAGCACTCCCCAGTGAGATGAACCTGGTACCTCAGTTGGAAATGCAGAAATTACCCGTTTTCTGTGTCACTCATGCTGGGAGCTGTAGACTGGAGCTGCTCCTATTCGGCCATCTTGGCTCCCCACTGTCTCAGTCTTGAATGTGTGGCAGCTGAAGCTCAGCACTGATGTTACTGTCTTCCTACCTGCCCAGAATTTGCAAAAGGTCTATGTCCAAACTACTAATTTTAATGAGTTCATAAACATGTAAATTAAATGGGACATCTTATTATTGAATGACCCTTTAAAGGTGAAACTCAAGCCAGGATCTTACTTGGTAAAGTTGAGAAGTATCTTAAAAATCAGATTCTAAACTTCTTGGTGTAGAGCCATACTCACTGAATCAATTCTCCTTCCTTTCTTGGCATCTCTCTGTATAAGTAATCATTTTTCCAGTTATCTTACAAGTGAAAATCTAAAGATTAATTCCTCTCACTCCACCCTAGGACAACCCACAGCTTCCTTCTGTGGAGTTTGCAGTGTAAATCTTAGAATTTATCTCCTCTCCATACACGAGGGCTCCATTTTATATCCACAGCTTTGGTACACCTTAATAGGAAATCAATTAATTCAATATTAGATTCATCATTTCTCCACTGTATGTTTGTGTGCATGCACTTTGGCATTTATCTTAGCACTTGACAAGTTGTAGGCACTCAATAAATATTGCTTGGGTAACTCAATGAAGTTGAGTGTTTGTGTGTGTTTGGTAATGACACATCTAGCTATAAAAATTCATTGAACTACTCTAGTTTTCTCTTCCTGATATCCTTTCTTCTTTGTACATCAAGTCATGGCACTCACAGAACCTGGTTATTTGAAAGTAAAAATTTGCATATTGTTACATTTTTAAACCTGAAGAAGGTGAGATCTAAGAAAAAGTTAGCCTTAACATTCCATAGCAGTGTGGTGACAATAGTTAGCAACAATGCCTTGAACATTTCAAAGTAACTAAGAGAGGACATGAAATGTTACTAACACATAGAAATGGTAAATACTCAAGATGATGGATAGTCCAAATACACTGACTTGATCATTTCACATTCTATACATGTAAAAACTACTCACATGTACTTTATACATTTGTAAAATATTTGTATAAATTACAAAACAAAATCAAAAACAAAAATTACTCAGCAGTTACATGAATACATTCTCATTGTGAAAAACTCAAATTATATACAATTATATAAGCAAAATGCTGAGGACCTTCTTCATACTCAGCCCCTCTTCTCTCCAGAGGTAACTAGAGCTGATAATTTGGTGTGTATTCTTCCAATCTCCTTTCTACAAAATTACATACATATAAAAATATACAAATATATAATTTTTTTAATATAAAAGACACCAGACCATATGCATTGTTTCACCACCACCTTGTTTATCAACATGTCTTAGAATTCTTTCTATTAGCTCTGTACAAATAGATCATCTTTTAAAAATGCTATAGAATTAAATATAATTTAACCATATTTAATTAAATATATGTCTGTCTTGTTGTTTATTTGACCACTTTGTTCATAATAAACACATGCATTTTCCCCCAATTTTTGGCTGTTTCAATCCACACTGCAGTATTGAACATTCATTGTAATTCTTATGTACAAGTATTTCAGCAGGACAGATTATACTAGACACGAATGCTGGTCAGAGAGCATACATACTTAAAATATTGACATATATTGTTTTATCAGTTATTTACACTCTCACAAATAATGTTTTAGAAAGCCCAGAGTGAAGCATTTGTACTGTAAATTAAAAGATGGTTTTTATCTCCTTATCACAAGCATTACTAGACAAATTCAGGGATAGTGTGTGTATGTAATGAAATGAATTAGCACAAGATGTTGACTCCTTTCTATCAGGCTAATAGTAAAAGTCTTCTTAAATAAATAAATGTTTCTGGCTTAGTGGTCTAATTTAGTAGAACACAAATTCACAGAGATAGAGGGAGTCAACATGGGCAGAATGGAAGAATAGGGCAAATATTTTACTAATCAAAAAATGAGTATCAGCACCTCATTTTAAAGCCAAATTTACAAAGAAGATACACAAAACTATTGCATGATTAAAATAAAAGATGAAAAGGACTTTCTTATCACTTAATCAAAATTTGAAATTAATCAGTGCTATGGCTTGCATTCTATCATTGCATATAGAGGAGCAAGAACAATTAAAACATTACGTTAGCTCAACACTTATGAATTTGGACAATAAGCATGTACTAAAAAAAGACCCTAGAGAAACACAGGGGCTTAGAGTTATCTTCTTATTCAACATGTGCTCCATTATCTTGGGAATTCCAGAATCAGGAGCAGAATTCTCACAGTTGGCTAATTACTTTAATAAGATCTGCTTTATTTAAAAATAAATCTGAAGCAGATGCCAGAACTGGACCTGGTGACGAATATTTATCCTCTCCATAGTGTTGTTTTTTTCCTATGACATTGCACAGTTGGTTCCTGATCTCCACTTTGATGGCGCCAAGGGGCAGCATAACTTTTGCCAAATGCACAAGACAGAATGACTTTTTTATGGGGCTGCTCTGGCCTTCTTTCTGTGCAATTTCTCCCCAGATGTCTAGTTTCTTCTTGGCAGCCAGTGCTCACCCCTGTCCCCTGAGAGAGCCATCTGTCTCTCAGCTCTGCCCTCCTCAGACCTTTCCCTCTGTCCCCATGTCCCATCCCCTCTGTCAACTTCAGCCAATATTTCTTTTTTTAAACACATTATTTTTGTGGGTATATAATAGATGTATATATTTATGGGGTACATAAAATATTTTGATACAGCGATACAAAGTGTAACAATCACATCAGGGTAAATGGAGTATCCATTACCTCAAGCATTTATCCTTTCTTTGTGTCACAAATGATTCATTTATACTCTCCGTTATTTTAAAATGTACAATAAATTATTGACTGTAGTCACTCTGTTGTACTATCAAATACTAGATCTTATTCATTCTAGCTATTTTTTGTGTGTCCATTAACCATCCCCACTCCTGCCCCACCACTACACTTCCCAGCCTCTGGTAACCATCATTCTACTCTCTGATTTCATTTGTTTCGATTTTTTGCTCCCACATGTGAGTGAGAACATGTAAAGTTTGTCTTTCTGTGCCTGTTCAGCCAGCATTCCTTGATGCCTGATCTGTGCCCAGCATCATGCCAGGTTCTTGGATGCTGGGAAAAAGCACAATTCCTGCCCCCAGGAAAACTGTGACTCAGTGGAATTTTCTAGAGTTAATTTGATAAATGTATTTAAGATCATGTGTTATGGAAGATAAAGTCTAATTATCATGTCACTTATCATAAATAGCATCTGTAATTTAACAGAGACTTTAAAAGACTAACGTAAAAACTTTAGCCACTGGGTTGAAGGGAGTGCAGAACAATTTTTATTTTCCCTTGTGATGAGGGGAACTTTCATACTAAGAAGGTGATTCTGCCTCCCTTTAAGATCCCCTGTAGCAAACAAGAATAGACACTTTTCTTAGGTGGGCTTCTATCACACAGGCCTGCTATGGACATTAACATTTATTTTTCGTATTTATGGCTCCAATCTCAGTTTTATGTGTTTGATTTATCTTCCCTTCTCAGATAGAGCATTCACAGCAACACCTCAGGCCTGTGTGGAGTTGGGCCAAGCTTATTTGGATAGAATTTATATTTCAGTTGAGTGCTCCCCTGTTCACATGGAAAAAAGCAGCTCCAACTGTGAAATGTGGGTGGCTGCTCCTGCACTGCTGTGCTATGCCTGGCAGGGTGTCTTGTCAGCTAAAAAGAGGGTCCAGACCAATGTGGGGAACATCCAAAAAGTTTGTCTCCTGAGGGAGACAAACCTCCAGCCGTAAACCATGGGATACAGGAGTGTGTTTGCCTGGACACCTGAGGCACTTGCAAACCATAGAAAAATGAAGACGAACTGAAGCAATGAAACTGACGCAAACTAAAACAAACCAAAATCAATCACATCACAACAAAGCAACCACCATAGATATGAACTACTTCTCTCAATTGCACACCCACATTCCCTGAAAGCAGGAAAAGCCACATTGCTCCATATAATAGAAGACAGGTGAATCTTAGAATTGCTAGAATCTTAGTGCAAAGCCATCTTCTGAAGCAACCTGAGCAGGCCTCTGCTCTGTTGAAGGTGCCACCAGCTCATTGTCACCAGTCTATTCTCCAAGAGTTCAGACTACTGGAGACATTGCTAGCTGCCAAAAAATATCTACTCTCCCCTTCTCTTGTGCTCCTAGAATCCTAATTTTATTTGAGGCAACAATATATCCAATTAAATATTTATTTCAGACTCCCTTGCAGCTAGAGGTGGCTATGTGACCTAGATCTGGCCTGTGAGATATGGAATGTGTTTGCACAGCAGCCATGGAGACAAAAGCTACAGACTGAAAAAGAAACACCAGGTAGATGGAAGGAGCCCATGCCTGTGGTGGCGCTGCTGAGCCGCTGAACCAGCTTCACATTGCCTTCCCTGCATCTTCTGTGTGACATAAATAAATCCCCATATATTTAGTCTGGATTTCTGATATTTGCTGCAGAAACATATCACAAATGAGGCCACCTTCCTGAGGGAGTGCCTTCTTTTGGCATCAGAAGACATGGTGATTCTGAGACTTCAAAAGTCATGAGACCTGAAATCACAAAACTCCTAGAAGAAAACATACAGATCAAGGAATGTTTCCTATTACCAGTGAAATATTAATCTTAAAAAGAAGGAAATCTTCCCATTTGTGACAACATGGATGAACCTAGAGGCTAAGTGAAATAGCCAGTCACAGAAGAAAAATACTGCATGGTCTCATTTACAATTGGAATCTAAAAACCTTGAATTCATAGAAGCCGGGAATAGGATGGTGTTTACTGGGACATGGGGAAGAGGGTAGGGGGAAATGGGGAAATGTTATCAAAGGATACAAAGTTTCAGTTACTTAGAGGGAATAGGTTCTGGAGATCTAATGTGCAGCATGGGGTCTGTAGTTAACAATACTGTATTGTATACTGGAAATTTGCTGAGAGAATAGATCTTAAGTGTTCTTACCACACACACAAAGGTAACCATATAAAGAGATGGATGTGTTAATTAGCTTAACTGTAACAATAAGTTCATTATGTATACCAAAACATCACACTGTATACCTTAAATATGTATAATTTCAATAAAAATTCAAACAAAAGTCATAAGACTTTTGAGTTCCAAAGTTTGTGGTACATACACCTGGCACCTGGGAGGTAGGAACTGATAAAGATTTTTGCAGGTTGTAAGTGGGGTTTGGAAGAAGGCTTACTGGCCCAACTTCTAGAACAGCAAAATAATAGTGATGAGGTTTGTAGCTAATATCTACATAGTGTGTTATGGACAAGAAAATAGTTCACAAACAATGCACCTGCCATTTATCAAGTCCCTACTATGCATTAGGAACTTTATAGAAATTAAATTCTCTTGGTAACTCTGCAATGGAGGTATTATGCTGCCTGTTTTACAAATAAGGAAACGGACAACTTGCTCAAGATTATAGAGCTAATAAGAGGAAGAGCCACAATTCAAACCCTCCATTGGAAGCCAAAGTCCATGCTCTTTCAACAATATTTGCCATAAACATATTACTTTAATTTTCTCCTCACAAACACACATAAAGTGATTATATTCTCCTATTTTACCTAGGAGAAAGTAAGTGCTAAGAGATGGCCCAATATCTCACAGCCAATTGGTTTAATTTCCAAAAGCACAGCTCTTTCTACTCCACCAAAATGTTGCCCTTCAGAGATTTCCAGAATGTTTTTTCCCCATCGACATTTGCTACGTGCTTACTTAATAAGCCTGGTACTATGTGTGTTATTCTTATTTTATAGATGTTTTTCTTATTTTACTGAACATCAGAGATGAAGTAACTATTCAAAGTCACTCAGAGCAGTAAGTGAGCCACTACGGACCTGACCCCAGGCAGGCTGGCTCCTGAGCTTGTCTCATCCTCTCCTTGCCTCTTAGACATAGTAAAGCTATTCTGAGATGATTCTGGGAAAGTGTGGATATCCAGGAAGTATGAGGGAGCAGGGAAGAAAGTATTTCCTGAAATTTCCTTAGGACCAAACATTGATTTTGAGAACTCTGCTTCTGTTTGGCCAAGAGAAAAGTAGAAAAGTCTGGCGCTTGTTCTGTTCCTCAAGGTCAAATATATGAGATAATAAAGACAGAGTTATGAAATTACTATCCATGTCCTGAATGTAAAACGTCCATTTACTCTTTAAAAACCAAAAAGAAGAGGAGAATCCAACATGCTGAAAAACTAAACATTATCTTTCTTAATAACCCAGCTTGGAAATTAATGAGCTGTAGGAACCGAAAGAGTCACTTTGCTTTGGCTCAGACAGAAAACAATGATGGGATTCTGTGCCAATGCATTGTGGAGCTTTGTAATTGTTCTCCTAAATGGTCAATAGTTTTAATTTGTATATAATAACATGATTTTAATCAGCCTAGGCAACTGTTTATGCAGGTTTTTTTTTCCTCACAGAAGTTGCAACATGATTGATATTTAAATAGAGTTTCTCGTTTGACTTTTCAAAGAAGATAAATGCCCGCATTTAAGAAGACAGGAACTTTTCTTTGGGTTATGACAAAATATAGAGGAGGTCCTCTCCTGCCACATAATGACATACTCACTTGATTCTGATTCTGGCTTAGAAAAACTTATGGTGTCAACAGGCCATTCCCATTCATACCATGGAGATTTTTGTGGACTCTACCATGAGAAACTCAACTCTGGCCATAATTATCTAAGCAATGATAGTTCCAACTACACGGATTGCCTGAAAATATCACATTTTCCCTTAATTGAGTTTTTCACTTTTCAGTTAGTTTCAATGATGTCATATTGATATAGCCTAAGGAACACAAATTAAAATATACTTTCAATAAAATCGTAACGTTTTCATTTGTATTAAATGTTTGAGAAATGAGGCAACTGGTTAGTTGAACGTTCTGGTTTACCAGCTACCATGTAACATGCATGTTCATAATTTTCAACTAATTGGAGTACAGTATAAACTCCTATGATCATGCCTGTTCCCATGTGGTGTCTCTGGTACCCTCCCCACTCTCATTTTTAAATGCAGGAGAAAGCAATGCCTCTTTGGAACTCTCTTAGTTTGCACTGTGGTCTGTAAATACCTCTTTTAAATTTATATTGTAGGCTTTTGAGGGATTGTAGACCAGATGAAAATATTGTTTTTTTAAATTCACTACACAACAAAGTAACTCCACATTTGGATTTTTGTTTTACTTCCACTTATCACATCATCATGTGGGTTTGCTGTACTCAGTAATAATAATGGTTACTATCTGTTGAGCAACTACATTGTGCCAGAACACTGCAAAATATATGCATACATATTTACATGCATTTATATATGCATACAAATCTGTATATAGCCATGCATACATAGTAGTTCAAGGCTGTTATTGATACAGAAAACAAATATCTAAAGATTAAAAATGATCAATTTTATCACAAATTTCATTTCCACTTAATTCTGAATAGTGTGTTGATTTAATAAAATGCAAGAAGTTAAAAAGTAAGTTATATTTTATAATCTTTCTGGAAACTTTGAGTTTATGGAATATCTCCAAATCAAAAGTATTTTTTTTGTCACTGATGTTGGCATGCATATCCTGCTGTATTTTATCAGGGGCTCCTTAGCACCACATTTCAGCACCTGGCTTAATAAAGCATGTAATAAGCATCTGTTAAATAACTGTGAATGCCTGCAGGGTTCAAATGTCACATGCCAATGTTTAGTATCTATACTATTGGACAGACATACTTTCCTGTCCTTCAGGTTGTTCTCGTTTCTCCCACTGCTTTCTGTGGATTAAATAAAATTCTGTGTAGACCCAGTAAAGCAAATGAAATCATTATGTCAAGCAATCCCTTGTCTTTCGGATAGAAATCACAAAACCAGCATCTTTGACCGCAAAGGAGAAATAAGAGCAATTTGAGTGCCCATAAAAGTGATTCCTAAATTTGAATTCGTTTAGAAAAAAAATCTCCCAAAACAGCTGCTTGGTTAATGGCTAGTGAAAAACAGTGGGAGCTCTGTCAGCTATCCCCAAATTGCAGCTAAACTAATTGGTCGGGAGGCTGCTTTGAAGAGTGATAAGATATATATTGGTTTAAATTTTATGGAAAGTTACAAATAGTTTTAGGAATTTTGACCTGCCCTTCCTTAAATCCAGTCCAGACCCCTGGGGCCCAATGTCTCTTTTCTCCTTTCTGTTCTCCCACTGCCTGGCCATTTGACATTTGTTATTCAATGAAAATGTACTACTCACTGTTGGGCATTGCCAGAAATGTGACTGCAGGCTTTTCTCCACTGTCATGCTTATCCCGAGGTGGTAGTTGGAGAGTGTAAGGGACCATGTGGTTTCTGTTGACCTATAATTACTCTCCCATCTGAAATCCTCTTGCATTTCAGAGGTAGGAGATGGGAGGGGTGTTTGGCTGTTTATGTCTCTCTCCTTAATCCTTAGTAGCTAAAGTGTGCATATACTAGAAAAACAAGATTGAGACAAACTATTTCTATTATTGGTTAAGAAATACATATTTATGTAAACTAGTTAATAAATGCAGTTGTCATTTTCACAGTGCTTCATAATTAGTACCTTTAGATCAGGGTACTCAATAAGATGATTACATTTGTGAACCACATTCAGCTGAGTCTCTCTGGAATCGTGTTACATCTCAGTGAATCATTCAATGCTTCCATAGCTGCTTGTTAGAAGATTTCTCCTCAGGGCAACCTCAGAATTGAACTCCTTGCAGTTTAGGACATATTTTCCCTCTCTTCTAAAAGTATTCATACGTCCTTCTTGAAGGGAAGCCATGGGCAATAAATATAAATAGGTGTCTTCTTTTACCTATGCAGGCAAAGCAGAGGTAATGGCTTCTTGGAGAAGCACACTTAGCATTGGAGGGGCAATATTGACATCTGTGTTAAGCTACCTTGTCCCAACATACCTTTCTCAAGGAATGTTTCTGAAATAACATCAAGATGAAATACGTGATATGCAAAGCACTGTGCACAATGCCTGACACCAGTAGAAATTCAGTTAAGTATTAGTTTTCTAATCTTGTATACCCCATCCATGCATGCACCCATGCATATACACATACGCTCATACCACCTCCCCTAACACACAAATTGACCAAAAAATTAGCCCCAGCTTCCTGACTGCCATTCTATTATTTTTCTAATCACCCCACAACCTCCATTTCATTTTGTCCACTCTGCCCGATTTTCTGAAATTCTCTGGAGGAAGACACCTTGTGTTTTCTTATTAAGGTTAAAATGGAGAAAAGACATTCTCTTTTTCCATGATACAAAATAAACAAGAAATGTTAAGTATAGTAATTACCATTTTCTCAAATCACAGCATGCAGCAAAGGGCTTATAAAAGACACAGGCAGGAATTACATAGTGTTTCCTACCAGCTTGCCCTACTGTACAGTCAAAACAAGAAAAGTTACCTGGTCCCACCAAACTGGCAGTTACTCCTACCTCTCAGAACTCACTTACAGAAAAATGGGTTGGTGATCAGGTTGCCAGATTTAACAAATAAAAATGCAGAATACCTAGTAAAATTGGAATTTCCCATAAACAACTTTTTTTTAGTGTAAGTCCCAAATATCTTATGGGAGATACCAAAATTTTATTTGCTGTATATCTGAAATTTCAATTCAACTGGACATCTTGTATTTTATCTGCCAACACTAGTAAGTGTACAGTCAATACAGAACACTTAATTCACTCTATCTTAGTGATCTCTTCAGAGCTGTAGACTGTATCACCTAAAACTTTTTTTTAAAAGAAAATCATTTATATGGACATGGTTTTCATGCTTATGGTACATCAAGATCATCTGCAGGGCTTTAAGAACACAATTGGCTGGGTCCACATCTCCAGAATTTCTGATTTAGTAGGTCTGGGCTAGAGCCTGATAATTTACATTTCTAATAAGACCCCAGTGTCAGGCCTCTGAGGCCAAGCCTGCATGTGTACATCCAGATGGCCTGAAGTAACTGAAGAATCACAAAAGAAGTGAAAATGGCCGGTTCCTGCCTTAACTGATGACATTACCTTGTGAGATTCCTTCTCCTGGCTCAGAAGCTCCCTGACTGAGCACCTTGTGACCCCCGCCCCTGCCCACCAGAGAAACAACCCCCTTTGACTGTAATTTTCCACTACCTACCCAAATCCTATAAAACAGCTCCACCCCTATCTCCCTTCGCTGACCCTCTTTTCGGACTCACCCTGCCTGCACCCAGGTGAAATAAACAGCCTTGTTGCTCAAACGAAGCCTATTTGGTGGACTCTGTTCACAAGGACGTGCGTGACACCCAGGTGTTGCTGATGCTGCTGTTCATAAGAGACACCAAAGTGACCTTTCTTTGCCTAGGTTATCATGAGTCAAACCTTCACAATGAAAAATCTTGGTTTAGTCAAAGAGGAGGTGGGAAGGGAGGAGAGAGCAATGTTTAAAGCAGTCTCTGTTAAACGAGAGAGATGTTAGTGTTCTTTTGTTTTGAGAGAAGGGATTTATAATAAATGCTGAGAGAATAAGCAATAAGAAAAGAAAAACCCACAAAATTCCCAAAGAAATTATATTTTATATAGAGGTAAGATTAAATTATTCCAAGCCATCATCATTTTACTCTCTTTCATCAAGCCATGATTCAAATTGACATCAACCTAGAAACAGAGTGAGAAAATTGGATTTGTCTATGTTTTGGTACAGAGGGAACATGTGGAACAACTACTGGGCAACTTCCCAGGATCAACTACCAGTGATGGCATCTTCTGAGGGAGGAGTTTCTAAAAACTTGTGAGAATAGTGGGGCAAGAGATGATTATTATAACCACATACTCATACACTGTGCCAAACAGGAAGTATCTTCCACCTTTATCCCTTTCAAAAGCATTCTTTAACACCAAAGAAAAATGGATTCTGACCATGACTCACTCAAGTAGCTACAAGTAGAGGCAGGTAGCAAATGTGCCATATCCAAGGATATTGAGGATGGAAAGCCATGACCTTAGACAATAAAACCTGTTGTTTTCTATGTGTTAGAAGGCTGGTGGGCTTCAGAGTCAAATGGTCTACATGAGAATTCCAGTTTGGCTACTTACTAGCTGAGTGATCCTGAGAAATTCTCATAACCTCTGAGCCTAACAATTTTCCCCAACTCCACAGTATAGCTAGAAATAACGTCTTCATTACTGTGAGGTTATGGGGGTTCCACAAGATGATGTAAGGAAAAGAGCTTTGCATAGAGCTGCACATTATAGAGGCTCCATGAGTGCATATTAGTTCACAAACAACAAATCCATTGGGAGTACTTTGGACCTGAATCTTGAATGCTTGTAATCATTTTTCTCTCCTACATATCTCCTTGGTGTCAGTTTTCTCATCTGTAAATGTGGGTGGAGTAGAGGTGGAGAGTTAACCGTCCATTCAGGGAAATCCTTTTTTTAAGGTACAGCTTATATGTCTAAATATCCAGTGCAAAATGAAATTGAATTAAAACTAGCCAAGTAATTAATTGCCTACTATTAGGAAAAATAAATGTGTTTGTTATTTAGAAGCTAAATCAACTTGTCTAATTATATAAAGTTTTGATCTGACCGTATGTGAAAAAATTGACAGCCTTTGGAATACTGCAAAACTCATGACATAAAGGCTATTCTACATCCTGAAGACAGAATCATGTTGTCTTATCCTTCTTGCATATGTTCCATCATATACAATGACATCTGGGAATTTCAGCTTTCTCAGACCTGGCTTTTAGATTTTTTTTTGAACTTTATTTTAGTGAATGTTTGAAGTTTTTTTCTGAATTAAAGTATATACAAGAAAATTTAGAAAATTCAGAAACATATAAAAAGCATAATACTCATTAGTAATCTCACTAGAGATAATCATTGCCAAAATTTTAATCTTTATTCTGAACTTTTTCTGATATTAACATTGCATGATACACAAAATTTGGCATTCTATTTTTCTGGCTTAATATTATGTGAATTTCCTCATGCCTTTTTAAACCTTTGTAAATATTTAAAAAATTGATGCATATTAGGCAAGAGAAAAGACATTTTTATAGGAAAGGAAGAAGTAAAATGGTTTCTATTTGCTGATGACATGATTTTATATAGAGAAAACCCTAAAGACTCCACCAGAAAAACCTATTAGAGCTGATAAATTTAGTAAAGTTGCAGGATACAAAATCGTCATACAAAAACTCAGTAGCATTTCTATATACTAGTAATAAATGATCCAAATATAAAATTAAGAACACCATCCCATTTACAATAGGAACAACAACAAAATACTTAGGTGTAAATTTAACCAATGAGGTGAAAGACCTGTAATATGCTGATGAAAGAAATTGAAGAAAACACAAATAAATAAAAAGATATTTCATGCTCATGGGTAGAAAAAATTATATTGTGAAAATGTCCATAGTACCCAAAGTGATCTAAAATTCAATGCTATCTCTATTAAAATTTCAATGCCATTTTTTTCACAGAATAGAAAATACAACTCTTCATATGAAAACACAAAAGACCCTGAATGGCCAAAATGATCTTGAGCAAAAGGAACAAACCTGGAGTCATTGTACTTCCTGATTTTAAAACATATTATAGAGCAATTGTAATCAAAACAGCATGGTACTGGCATAAAAACAGATACATAGACCAAAGGAACAAGATAGAAGGCCCACAAATGAAGGCCACACATTTGCAGTGAATTGCCTTTTGACAAAGGTGCCAAGAACATCCAATGAAGAAAGAACAGTCTTTTCAACAAATGGTGTTGGGGAAACTGGTTATCCATGTGCAGAAAAATAAGAGTGGATCATTTTCTTATACCATAATAAAAATCAACTCAAAGTAGTTTAAAGATTTAAGGCTGGGTGTGGTGGCTCATGCCTGTAATCCCAGCACTTTGGGAGGCTGAGGTGGGTGGACCACCTGAGGTCAGGATTTCGAGACCATCCTGGCCAACATGGTGAAACCCCATCTCTACTAAAAATACAAAAATTAGCTGCACGTGGTGGTGTGTGCCTGTAATCCCAGCTACTCTGGAGGCTGAGGCAGGAGAATCACTTGAACCCAGGAGATGGAGGTTGCAGTGAGCCAAGATCATGCCATTGCACTCCAGCCTGGGTGACAGTGAGATTCTATCTCAAAAAAAAAAAAAAAAAAAAAAGATTTAAAATGAGACCTCGAAGTGTAAAACTACTAGAAGAAAACACAAAAAGTTCCATGATGTAGATCTAGGCAATAATTTTTTGAATATGACCCTGGAAGCATTGATGACAAAGGCAAAAATAGACAAATGGGATTATATCAAGCTAAAAAGTTTTTGCACAGCAAAGGAAACAATTAACAAAGTGAGGGACAACCCATGGAATGGGAAAAGTTGTTTGCAAACCATACATTTGATAAGGGGTTAACATCTAAAATATATAAAGAATTCAATAGCAAGAAGAAAAATAACACAGTTAAAGAATGGGCAAAGGACTTGAACAGACAATTCTCAGAAGAAAACATGCAAGTGGCCAACAAGTACATGGACAAAATGCTCAACATCACTAATCATTAGCAAAATGCAAATTAAAACCACTAGGAGATACCATCTCACACCTGTTAGAATAGCTTTTATCAAAAAGATGAAGGATAGCAAGTGTTGGTGAAAGTTCAGAGAAAAGGAAACTCTTGTATGTTGCCAGTGGGAATGTAAATTAGTACAGCTATTATGGAAAATGATATGGGGGTTCCTCAGAAAATTAAAAATATCATATGATTCAGCAATCTTACTACTTGTCATATATCCGGAAAAAATTGAAATCAGTAAGTCAAAGGGATACATGCACTCTGATGTTCACAGCAGCATTATTCACAATAGCCAAGGCATAAACTCAACCTAAGTGTCCACCAATGAATGAATAAAGAAAATGTGGAATATATACACTATGGAACACTATTCAGCCTTAACAAAGGAGAAAATTCTGTCATTTGTGACAATGTGGATGAATCTGGAGGACACTATGCAAAGTAAAATAATCAAGGCACAAAGAGATGAATCCCACATGCTCTCACTTGTATGTGGAATCTAAAAAAGTCAAGCTCATAGAAGTAGAGTAGAATGATGGTTACCAGAGGCTGGGGAAGGGGAAAGGAAGGAATGGAATTGTTGGGCAAAAGTTACAAAGTTTCAGATAGACAGAATAAGTTTTGAGATCTATTCCACAGCACAGTGACAATAATCAATAAAAATATATTGTATTTTTCAAAATAAGAGTAAATTTCAAATGTCTGTATACAAAATGGTAGATACATGAGGGTATATATGTTAATTAGGTTGATTTTATTCCACATTGTATGTACCTATCAAAACATCACATTGTAGCCCATAAATATAGAAAATTATGATTTGCCGATTAAAAATAAAATAACATTTAGAAATTGCTGTACATCACATTATATAAATTTACCATAATTTGTATTTCCATTTTTTAATGGTCTAGTTTTTATTGTGCTTTGTTTTTAGTTGCGTATTCTATTCATAGTGCACACTGATAGCTTAAATAAAAATTAAAACTACTGAGTCTACTCTTATAAAAGTTTGGTATACCTAAATATTTTGAACTTCTTCAACCAAATGCAACAGCTTACCTCTTCAAACACAAATGAAAATTCTTTTACAAGATAATCTGAAGTTGAAGAATTTAAGACATTATAGAATAAATAAAGCTAGAAATTCAGATTAAAGGTGTTATAAATATTGTGGGCAATAAACTCAACCCACTAGTATCTCAAGATCATATCAATGGCATACTATATATCATAAATTAATGCTAGTGAGTACAATACAATGGATTTTGCCTTATCAGCCCTTAACTGACGTTAAACATTTTGTATTCTCCCTTGAAGCCTCATTAAGATGCCTGTAAAGTCATTTTGAATGGTCAGAGAGGAGCTGCCCACTAAGAAACATAGTTGTTCTCCTGTGACTGGCCCTTCAACCAAAGATTCTTTTCAGTTTTTCCAACTCTGAGCTGTCAACTTTCAGAGGCTTCTACATCCTAACCAGGCCCAAGTGGCAGCTTCGAGGTACAGATCCCTGGTTTCTGGTTTACACAGCTCAGCATTTGCCTTCTCACAGACACAGAAATGTGGGTCCTTGTCTAAACTGAGGGTTACTTACCCATAGTTTCCTCTGTTTTTCCCAAGACCTTGTTATGAAAGCTTCAACTCCTGCCATAACTTTTGCCTTAATTCCTGTTTCTACTCCCAGCTCTCAAATGCTTCTTTTCCTAATTATATCCAACTGGAGTGACTCCTAGCTAATGGAAGAAAATTTTTGAAGTTGCCTAAAAGAGATACAGAATTGAGATCATATATATGAAAAATTTAAGTACAAGAAACTCCAAAATTAGTAATGGGTTTGGGGTTAAGAGGGGAGCTCTATGTTTTCAGCATGAAGCTAAAAGTAAAATAGATAATAAACTCACACCAAGCCTTTACTTTTATTGGAATATAATTTAAATACAATAAAATTCACTATTTTTAAAACATACAGTTCAGTAGTATTCAGTATAGTCTCAGAGTTGCAACCATCACCACTATCTAATTCCAACCATTTTCTTCACTCCCTGCCAAAAAAACCCTATACCTATTAGCAATCATTTCCCATTTCTCCCTTTCTCCAGCCCCTGGCAACCACTAACCTACATTTTGTCTTTATGGATTTGTCTATTCTAGACGTCTCATATAAACTGAATTATACAATATGTGGTCTTCTATGTCCAGCTTCTTTCATTCAGCATAATTTTCAAGGTTCATCCATATTGTAACATGTATCAGTACTTCATTCCTGTTTTATGGCTGAATGATATTTCATTGTATGAGTATACCACAATTTGTTCATTCATCAGTTGATGCACATTTGGGTTTTTTCAACTTTCTGTCCATGAGTAATGCTGCTGTGAACATTCATGTACAAGTTTTTATATAGATGTATGTTTTCAGTTCTCTTGGAGTGGAGTAGCTGGATGATGTGATAAATCTATGTTTAATTTTTTGAGGAACTGCCACTGCTTGCCACAGCAATGGCATCATTTTACATTTCCACCTGCAATATATGAGGGTTCTAATTTCTCTACGTGTTTATCAATACTTGTTATTATCCATCTTTTTCATAATAGCTGTCCTACTGGGTGTTAAGTAGTATCTCATTATTGTCAAAGCTTACTTTTTAAAGTAATTGTCAAAAACATCCAAGGATGGATACAGGACATATTCAATTTATCTGCACTGGAGGTCTCTGACTAGTGGTTCCTCAAGAGCCAAATTTGACCAGGGAATGTGTTTTGTTTGGCTATTAGGTGGGATATGAATTCTTTAGTTCTTCATGTGCCTTTAAGCTCCCTTCCCACCTAATCTTACATCTGGCTGGACTCACTCCTTTATGTTACCTGTCTGGCTCCTGTGGGCATGTGTTTGGGATCCCTATCTATATTTTCTGTTTCTGTATTTACATATATTCTATTATTAATAAAATAATGGATCTGGATACCGTTTAGAGAGATTTTGAAATAATAAGTTTTGGGGATTAAGCTTTCTGAAATGCAGAACTTAACCAATATACTTATTCATAAGATACTCTATTTAATCAGGACCTTAAAATTGCTTTGGCAATTTAGCAAGTTTTGGCACACCATTTTAGAAGTTGTCAAAGCTTTCAGAACAAAGACCAACAGGAACACACCTTGCAGACACAGTCCATCATCCCTAATTGTGTTGTTTTCAGAAATCTTGAAGTTTGCTTAATATGTTCGTGGTTTGACAGATTCTGTGAAATGGTCAAAAACAAAGCAAAGCTGAAACCATGTTCATAAAACCAAATAACTATTTGAAGCATTAGAGGTTGTTTATAAGCTGGGATATTTTGGTCTCATATCTATATAACAGGACTCTAGGACATCAAACAGATAGTGGAGAATAATTATTATTGAAAAATGCTTAAAAGGAGATCAATACACTTAATAAAAAGATAAGAAATAGCCTGTTTTCAGAGTGAATAAGTGTCCATCTGAAACCAGACATTTTTTATTTAGAGACAATTTAACCTGCATTTTGGAATGAAAAACTATCCTCACTGAAGATTGAAAGACAATTGGGGTGGGAGAAAAAAAGGGGATCAAATTATTTGCAAAGTTAATCTTTTCATGATGTGTTATGTAAACTATGTAGCACTTAAAATATTAGGCATACCTGTTTCCTCTTGATTTCAAGAATTTATTTTTGAAATTCTGTGTGCAAAAATCAAAAGTAAAATTTTTATAAATCTAGATGCTTTGTCCATCCAATATTTATAAACTTAGATTGCTAATGTTTTGGTTGTTTTCTTTTACTTTTTCTTTTCTTTTCTTTTTTTTTTTTTTTTTTTTCGTAGTTACATTTCCTGTAGGGTAGATTTCAGGGCATTAGAAACCCTTCTTGCCCAAATTCAATAAAAATAGGTTTTAGCATCAGACATTCTGCAACAATTGTACAGGGTGTAGCAAATTTTCTTTTAAGAATTAATAGGATTTCCCAAAGGATATATTTTCCTGTCAAATATAATCCTCATGATCAACAACTATAGCTCCAAGTAATTCTTTATGATTTCTTTTATTCACATTTTTCTAAGCTTATTCCTACATATCCTCTAGGGTAACTTTTATTACAGGAATTGCTGGCTTTTCTGCCAAATAAGAAACATGCGTTACATTTAGATGACAAAGTAACAGAGTCAATGCTTTTTTTTCCCATAGTGATATTTTTAAAAATATGGGCTATTTTATAATTTTTATTTTCCCCAATTGCAGCCTAAAGCATTGACAGTAAATTGTCTCTTCTGTTTCCAAAACTATAGATAAATTATACAACTTTTTAAGTCAATATTGTTCCAATGGACTTTAATAAGTAATTTAGCCTATAGCTATATAGCTTTGCATACAACTGTTATAACTGTTTCATATGGATCTGGGCAGTCTGTACTTTTTTTAAACTGAGTTCATTGACAAAACAGAAACACATCCAGCATTCTTTTTATTTTTCTATATAATGCAAAATAATGATCACTCACTGGGACTAGTAAATCAGGGTCCTTGCTACCTAATGTGTTGGTATAGATGAGCCCAGGTGAATTAGAGAACAAACATTTGACTCAACTGCATCACAACCCACTGTGTGACTCCACATATGTGATTCTTCCACTGAATCTTAACTACAGGAAGCCCTTCCGGTTCCCTCACCCCACATACACTCATACAGCACACCCATTAGCTTCTCAGCTGGTCAGGTCGGTACTGGTGGCTCCTTAAGTTTTACAGCCTCTGGGCAGCACATGGGCCAATTTCCTTTGGCATAGATGGGTAGTTGTGATTCCTTCACTGTGCTTCATACTTTTTATCCCTCCGCCGAGGGCCTCTAAATGTCTTCTACTTAAACATTTTTGAAGTGTGTATTTAAATAAGAATATTACAGAAAGATTGGAAAATAAGTCACAGGTTGTAGTAACACAACCACAGCTTAACATAATTACATCAGCTTCTCTGATTCAGGGAGCACAGCCGACTCAGGCAATATAGCATAAGAGGTAAAAGGCTGCTGCATGTAAATACCAGCAATTGCACTGTGTGACCTTGGGCAAGTTACTTAACCTCTCTGTAGCTCAAATTCCTAATTGACAAAATGGAAGTTGTGAGGTTGTGAGTATTCGATATTTAATGAGCTATCACACAACAGGGTCTTAGGACAGCCCGCGGCACAGTGTGAGCTGTATGAGCATTTACTGTTGTCCTTAAATAGTATCTTCTGTCTTTTTCTCTACACACAACTCTTTAAAAACACAGTTGAATAGATAATATGCATACAATTTTGTATTATGCTTGTTTCATTTAAGATCATAACAATTTCTTCCCATGCTGTTTTATAGTTTGTATAATTAAAATAGTAATGACTGCATACTATTCTATCCAGTACAAGAGTTAACATTCAAGTTGATTTCACTTTCCCACTGCTATAAGGTTTCAATGAATATCTTCATGTAAATATTGTCTTTCTTTATTTGAAATAATAAAGGTAAAAAAATGACCAGAGAAGGGAATACTTTTATACTGCATATATGTCTTTCTAAATGTTCAATTTTTTACTATCAGCAACAAGAGAAGAGCTCATCAGTGTCACAGTACACATAACAGGATAGCATGCTGTGATTAAAAATAACATGCATCTTAATATTTACCATATTAAAATGGTTCCATAAGTTGATTTCCACTAGTTACATTTACTTCTTTATGTTCCACTAGTTACGTTTACTTCTTTATGGCTGGTGAGATTAAGTCCTTTGCCCAATTAGTATATTACAGAGTTTTAATGTTTTCTTGTTAATTACATTGCATTGTACAATAATAAACATAGCTCTTTTTGCAGTTTTTACTGGGAATATCATCTTCTCATTGTTTTTATTTCTCTGTGGATTTTATTTGTATGGTAATGTATATTTTAGATGGTTGGATTTATTTTTGTCATTTATTTATAATATTTCTAAATTTATTAGAGTCCTGGCAAATGATTTAATTTTAAAGATTTGATACTGATTATCTAAAGTTGATATGTAATTTATTTTATTTTATGGTGTGAGTTATAAATCTAAATGGAAAAGCTGTTCATTAGTTAGTATTCTATGACAATTTACTGAAGAATCTTTCTCTTCCTCATTTTGGTTAGGCCGCTTTTTACTGCATATTCAATTATCATGTAGAATGAGGTTGATTTTGTGCTCACATCTTCTCTTCCAGTGATCTGTTTATCCTCTTGTAAATAAGCCACTGCTTTATTTCTTTTGCTTTGAAATACATTTAAATCTCTTGTAGGACTAAAGGCAAACAACTCCTTTCCAGGATGGACTTTTAATGGTTCACTTTTTATTTTTAGGGGTGTGTGTGTGTTGTTTTATTGTTCATTTAGATATAATACACACACAGTAAAATTTACCCTTCTATAAATTAGGACAAACTTACAGAATCATATAACCACCACCATCCCCAAAATATTCTCTTATGCTCTTTTGTAGCAATTTTTTCCCCTCTCCTCCAACTCAGGCAACCACTGGTTTGATTTTCTCCCCCTCTACCTTTGCCTTTTCCAGCATGTCATATAAATGGAATCATACATGAGATAGTCTTTTGAGTCTGGTTTCTTCATCTTAGTATTGAAGATATGAATTGAAATTCATCCATGTCATTATATATATATATATCAATACTTCATTCCTTTTTATTGATGAGTAGTAGTCGCAGTTTGTGGATGTACCAATGTTTGTGTTTTGGTTCGACAGTTGATGAAATAATGTTGCTACAGACATTTGTGCCCTGTGTTCTGTGTAGACAGACAGACAGATTTGAGAGGAAAGGAAAGGACATGGTTTGGTATTTTAGTCTTCTTAACCTGGAAAATAAATCATTCATGGTTCTTTTATTTTATCATGTGTGTATATGTGTGTGTGCCTGTACAGTTTTCTTCAAATAGGACATATATTTTCAATGTGAGATTATTACTGGGCCCATTATAGCTCTGTTGTTAATGTGAACAAAATCTTTTTAAATGATATTCTAAAACAGTATAGAATACAGAAATAGCAGATTTTTGTGTATTCATCTTGCATTCAGCTATTTGTCTGAATCATTTGTTATGCCAGATGGTTTTTTTCTTATACCTTTGACTGTCTGTGTATACAGTCATGCCACGTCTCTCTTCTTCTCCATGTATAAAACTATTTATGTTTCATGTCTTTGATTTAATATTACTTTGGAAATTATGTTCAATGCAATAATGATGACCATATCATTTTTGTTTTGTTTCTGATTTTAGTAAAAATGATACCAGTAGTTCATGATGAAATATAATATTATCTGGTAGTTTGTAATAACACCATTTAAGTTAAGCATCTTTTTATTATTTTTAGTGTTTTTAGGAAGACTGGTGTTAAATTTTATCAAAATCATTTTTTACATCTATTGATAATCATGTGGGTTTTCATGTCTAACAAGCTGGTGAAGTATTATATATAAATGTTTCATTGCATTGAACTATCTTTGCATTACTAGAATGAAACATACTTGGTTATGTTCATTATTATTTAATGAACATTGTTGAATTCTCATGGCTAGTATTTAACATTTTAACATTTATATTAACAAGGGGAATTGACTTTTTGTGATACATCTTTGGGTTATCTAGTTATATTTGCTTCATAGTTTGTACTGGGTAGCTTTTTCATGTGATTTGTTCTGGAACTGTTTATGATAAAAGTAACAATCACTAGTTCTTTGAATAAATGAAATAACTCATCAGGGACTCATGTAGAAGTTTTTTTCAGGATTGGTCTGAGGGAGAGAAAATTGTTTGATAAAAGTTCTAGCTTTTTAAAGATGCCGTTCTCCCCAATATCCCTGTTCCCCAGTGCTCATGGTGGTCTTCCACCAAGGCCCGCCTGCTCCTGCACATTTCTGTCCCCAAGAAAGGAAATAAATGAATACTTGTTGAATGAGTACTATCCATTTTTTGATATTAACTATCTCATTATATTCTCACAGCTACCTTCTCAGGAGAGTATTATTGTACTCCTATGAAATGGAAGCTCAGAGAATATTTAAGAAATTTCCCAATTTCACTCTGAATTCAGCTAATAATTATGCTTAAATTAGGATGAAGCCCTAGTTTTAGCTTGGCGGTGTCAGCACTAGAATTCCAATCCAGGTTACTTTTTCTATTATGCCATACTCCATCATTACTTAAAAACACATGGGATTTAAAATTCACCTCTTTCACCTTCTTATTTGTGTTTTATGTAGGTAATACTTTATATTTTCACATTTTGGCTTAATATTAAATGTCTTTCCAATAATGTTAGCTCCCAGGGGTTGCAAAGTCCTAAAATTGGTCTTGTGTGTGAATGAGTAGACCACAGTTGTTGATAATTCTGTTTCCTTAATAAAAATACTTGTGATTGGCCAGGCACAGTGGCTGATGCCTGTAATCCCAGCACTTTGGGAGGCCAAGGCAAGCAGATCACGAGGTCAGGAGAGCGAGACCATCCGGGCTAACACGGTGAAACCCCGTCTTTACTAAATATACAAAAAATTAGCCTGGTGTGGTGGTGGGCTCCTGTAGTCCCAGCTACTTGGGAGGCTGAGGCAGGAGAATGGCATGAACCTGGGAGGCAGAGCTTGCAGTGAGCTGAGATCACACTACTGTGCTCCAGCCAGGGCAACAGAGTGAGACTCCATCTAAAAAAAATATATATATATATATATATATTATATTATATATTATATATTATATTATATATATATATAAAACACTCGTGATTTCCCTATTGATTGGCAGTTCATATTCAACATGCAATAACATACCATGAAGCCAATTTAGAATAATTTTATTTTATTATTTTATTTTAAAATAGTTTATTTTTCTTTAGAATATTGACATTGTTTAATCTTTCTGAATGTTCACTCATATGTAAAATGAGGAGATTGGATTAAATATGTGCTTATCTAACTAGTGACACAAATAATACCGTTTTAATGAGTACTTTATAAAAATTAATTGTGAGGTCAAATCACTCTGTGAATGGTTGCATGTCATATAGGATTTTGGCACATACAGGTTTGTGAAAGTCCTTCAGTAGAAAAACCTGCTGTTTATCTATTTCCCAAATTTACTTATGTCTGCTCACTTATATATTTATTTTTGGATAACACATACGACATTATTATCTGGGGACATATATACCTTGAGGGCTAAACTTTGGGAAATAATGAACCATAATTTTTCTAGTTCTAAAATTTTACAATGATTTAAGGAAATTACAAGGTTCAAAAATTAGTCTGTTATACACAGACACATATTCAACAGGACAGAATCATTAAATCCAGCCTACTATGATAAATCTGAGAATTACATCAAGAAAATAATATAGACTTTGACAAATAAACCAAATTTTCCAAAATTAACTAGCACTAACAGGTCAAGAAATCAAGAAGCCGCACTTGGAACAATCAATCAGGTCACATTGACTGGAGGCTTTATATGCAAATGTGAAAACAAGACAACCCATGATTAAATGAAAGTAAATTACTCTATATATTCTAAGAAGAAATGAGAGGAAAGGAGAATTGCATAGAAGGGATTAAATTAGTACTAGTTCACAGGTCCTCTCTACAAGATATTTACAATCACTCAATTTAGTTCAACATTCCATAATAACTCATCAAAATGTCAGACAATTGTGCTGGAAAATCAATTAATTTAATTGTGTAGTTAGACATTTAAATTAAAAGGTTTGGTTAGTTTAATTGGCAAGACTTTATACAATAAAAACACCTCAATTTGATCATTTTTTCTCTCTTTTTTTCTATTGTTAAGACATTGCTTTATATAGAATTACACAAAATAACTATTTCTAATTATGTACTCCTATTTTTCATGCTTTGGTTTCAAACATTAATTTTAAAAGACTGGCTGTTTTATTTATTCATGAAAGTTAAGACTGGCCAGTTCTTTTTATTTTTTTTTTTAAGTCTTCTAAGATTAAAATGTGGTGATTTTACTTCTCATTTCTGGTTCTAAATACCAAAATTGTAAATGTGCTTTTGGTTCCTCTATTCTATTTCTAGTTATTTTTCTTAAGGGGATAACCATAATCATGTAAGTGGGCCAAAATGAATGTACAAGGATGCTCACTGTAGCACTATAGCACTTTTTTCCTAATAGAAAAAAACTGGAAACAACTAAAACGCCCACTAAAGAGTTTATTAAATTGTTATATGTATATGCAATCAAATGTGATATACTCATTTAAATATAATGAAGTTTTTCTTTGGTGTGAAAAGATATTTATGGCATATTGCATATTTTTGAGGGAAGAAATGAGATTAGACAAGTGTGTGTGTGTATGTGCAGAGAGAGACACACACAGAGATAGAGGTACAGAACGGCTTTTAAGGACCTTCAGCAAAGTATTAACAGGAGGTTTTATATTAACAGGAAAGTGATATTTTTTGTTATGTTCATTTTTCTTATTTTATTTTTAATGTTGTTTATTTATTATTGAAAGTGGTTTTTCATTTGGGGGGACTAAAACAAAACAGGAAGAAACAAAGGAGACCCAGAAGAAATAGTTGAAAAGATACTTTTAAAACTTGGAGCTAATGTTGGTATTAACCTAGGAGAGAATATTTAGAAGGAGGATGCGCTCAGGCCCAGGCTGAACAGATGACTGCTCTTTTATTGGCAGTTGTAATGCTCATCACTCCTCTTTTACAACTAATAAAACCCTATTCCTCAGTCAGCCTCTAGTTCAAATCCCACACCATTTTTTTGAAGTGTTGACAAACCATGAAATACAATTGTAAGAGCTCTTTTCTCTGGAATTAAGCTAAAAATAGTGCTTCATTCCAAATGCAGTCATATGTACTTCCTTGAGTTACCTCCATAAAAGAATTTTCATCTGTCACGGTAGCAATACATCATCAAAACAGCTACCACTTATGGAGTGTTCTCCTTTTGATAGGTACCTTTTCAGGGCTTTCCAGACCTTTAGTTCTTACTGTTACCCTATGAAATCAATTCTATTATCCCCTTTGTACACATTCGGAAACCAAGGCTCAGAAAACATTGTCAGAAGTCATAGTGCCAGAGCTAGAATTCATACTCATTAAAATTCCAAATCTCATGTTCTTTTTTTTCTTTCTTTCTTGAGACAGGGTCTGTCTCTGTCACCCAGTCTGCAGTGCAGTAGCACAATCATGATCTTCCCACCTCCCCTGTAGTCCCAGGTAGCTGGGACTACAAAGTCTCATGTTTTTAACAACTACACAATTCTGTATTTGCATGTATCTGCTCTTCTCCCCAATTAAATTGTAATCTTCTTGAAGATACATTTCTATACTTCTTACCCCCTAGCTAAATGATACTCAAATGTTTTATAGTTACTATGATATAGTTCTCCTTTGAAAGAAATTTTTTTTCAAAAAAATCCTTTCTATGAATTATTTCTCAAAAATTGTGTAACATAGCCCATGACATAAATGTGTAGGAGGAAAAATAATTAGCTCATTCACTCAGTAGGATCGTATTCAAACTTTTGTTAATTGTTCATTTTATTTAAGTCAATAATGCTTAATGTTTGTTATATTTATGTACTTTGAGCTTTTCATAAATGAATCTATTCATCTTCTATTTCACAATAAGGACTCAGGCTGAGCCAACATTTAGGCCAAGATCTTAATTAAGCCAAAAGTGATTATCCTTTGTAGCATTATGCATAAAAGAAAGATGCCTTAGAATTAGCTTGATAGTAATATTTTCTGCTGTGGCTTTGGATAATGTTTGATCATTAGCTATAACATAAAATCAATGTTTAAGTGTATAGAAATATTTATTGCAACTCAAAGGAAATACTGACCTTTGCTTTGCCTTAGTCAGTATTTATCCCCCAGGTAAATATATTTCAGTATTTACCTGAGCAGAAGTCAAGATCTATTTACTAGAAGCCTAGAACATATCATTTAATCCTCCACCACATAGCCACATATTATCCAGTGACTAACACAACAATTCAATAAAAATTGTTAAAACGCTTTCATCTCAAAATTCTAACTGTAGATTAAAATAAATGGTCTCTCTTTCTCTCTCTTTCTCTCTAATTTCCACACACACACACACGCACACAAACACACACACACACACACACACACAATCATACACATTAAGCTAGGAATGTAGAACAAGAGCATTACAATGCACATTAAAAGTATTATTTTCCCTATTGGATACTTCCTTTTGTTCAGATTTTCAGTTTGATACCTGGCCAAAAAAATAAGGAGTATTTCTGTAGAAAGCAGCAGTAGAAAACTTAGCTCCCTGACAGTGAGCAAAAATTTGCACTTCTTAGAAGAACTACTGTATAGGCAACACTCCTTTACTTGTGGAGAGGAGGACAGCATCCCTGAACTGAGCTCTCTGGGGGCTGGAAGAGTAGGAGGTGACTGCTTTCATGCAGGAAGGAAGGCTATAATGTCTTGCTTTAGGCTACATTCTTTCTGACATGAGAACGAGATCCAGACCCTTATATCACCCATAAAAAACTGTAGTTCTAGTGAATATTCTGCAATTTTTATACCAATATCTGTCATATGTCTATTCTAGTATTAAATGCTTAGAGGAAAAAGCAACACCATAGAGAAGATTAGCTGTGCCCTGTTCTCATGTATGAGCATGCGGCAAAGCAAACAGATGAGTTTGGATAAATGAAAATCAATACACTTGAAAAGACCTCTTTCATTCAATTGATTCAAGCTCCGTGGGTAATAGCACAGCAGAATGTGAAATGGTGTTAACGTGGCCCTGGCATAAATCCCATTTACAGGAAATACAGTAACTAAAGTGGATAAAAGCATGAAGGGATTTAATGAACCATAATGAACTCTTTACCATGAACCTTTTATAAATGCTTTTAATATGGTCTTATCACCATACCATTTGAACCTTCAATGAGGCAAGATAACCCTTTACAGTATGTATACATTTTTCAAAATCTAAGAAGTCAGAGGACCAAAATGTAATCCTTATCTTTAGAGTTAAGAAACATTTAGTGCCAGATCTAGAAAAGTCTGATTTTACAGAAAAAGAAATGTCACCTGTGGCATCATTTATTGTGCAAGGGTGCATAGCAACTTGTTGGCCAAGAGCTCACCAGAACTCACACAATTCATACCCCAGTTACCTTTTTCTACAAATCAATTTGGAGATGTTGGATACAAATGTGCAGACAGTTGCCAGTGCTGGTGAGGCTGTGAGTAGGAAACGAGGCCACAAAAGAATATAAGCAGCTGGTTCCTGAATCATATTCTCTCACTGCTGCTAAAATTTTCAGAAATTCTGATACAGGAAAAGGCCTATGTTTTTTTGACCTAGTAATTCTATTTCTGGAAATCTATCTTGCAAAAGACAGTCTCACATGTGAACAGACATAGAGTTAGACAAAGATGTTCATTCTGGTATTGTTTATAATAGCAAAATATACAAATGACATAAATGATCATCCATGGGGGACTGGTTAAATGATGATAGCACATCCATACAATAGATTATTATGAAACTGTCAAATACATTGAGCATGATCAATATGTACAGAAAAGGAAAGACGTATAGGATGTACATTTTAAATGTAAACCAATTCACAGAATAATGTAATATGTAAAATAATTCTGTTTATATTTTAAGAACCTTTATTTGTGCTATGTGTGTCTATCTTATATATATATATATATCTCATTCTGTTCTCTTCCATGGTTGTCATACTTGGGGATATGGGGACAAGGGAAGGTTTTGGGGAGAAGAGCAATTAAGTGCAGCTGTGTAAGACTGACAGAACATATTTTATTAGCTTGTATTTTTGGAAAAATGATACTTCAGTATTATGTAACATAATGCCTAAGAGGTGCTTTGGAATCAGAAAAACAGGTTTGAATCCCATCTCTGCCTCTCACTAGTGGTATGACCCTGGGAACACTTCTTCACTTCCCTGACCCTCAGAACTAAATGAATTACCATAGGTAAAACATCAAACAGAGTACTTGGCAAGTAGCCCACAATAAATGGTAACATCTATCATTGTGGCTGTGTTTAAATAAATTCAAATTAAATAGAAAATACTAAAAACAAAGTAAATATCAACTAAATTCTACTACCTAAAATTTGCCTCTATTATAATTTGATGATATCTTTCCCAAAAGCTCTGCAAATACATGCACTTTTAAAACATATTTACAAAAAAATTACAAAACCTACTGTTTGAATTGACAATATTCTATAGACTTTTCCCCATGTCTATATAATAAATGCAATGTGTATATATATGCT